>NC_000006.12:163858668-164010183 GCF_000001405.40 Homo sapiens | reverse complement strand
CGAAAGTTCTGTCATTCAATGGCAGTAATATTGTGACAGTAATATCACATTGGCTCACCTACCCCCTTCCCTCCCCGCACATAAAAAGTTCGGAAGGCTAAATGACAGGCCATGATTTGAAAATCAAGAGGTCTTAAAAATAATTGACTTCATGTAATTATCAGTAAGTGGATCCAAAAGTCCTCAATGATCAATTAACCACTGATCCACTGATCGACGATCAATTAACCACTGATCCGCTGATGGCAATTTAAACCATCCACCAAGAGAATAAAACAGCATCTGCTTTCTCTTTATCTAAAACCAAGACAGGAGCCTTACTGTCCTTTGATATTATATTATTGTATATGGCATATTATTTCCAAATAATACAATTGCTACACAGCATTGTTACAGTAACTAAAACAGGCTATTCAATCATGCTTGTTCAAAAGTAAAGAATCACTAGCATCTTTCTCACAGGATAAAAGGAAACTGCAGAAACCCGGGTTCTCTGATGGCAATACTCAACAAAAAGCCATTTCTTTTGAGAGTCCCATTTAATCCGGGTCATTGAAAGGCAGTGGGCATTAGAAATTTAGAATTTCAGCCGGGCATGGTGGCTCACGCCTGTAATCCCAGCACTTTGGGGGACCAAGGTGGGTGGATCGCTTGAGGTCAGGAGCTCGAGACCAGCCTGGCCAACATGATGAAACCCCATCTCTACTAAAAACACAAAAATTAGCTGGGTACAGTGGTGCAGGCCTGCAGTCCCAGCTACTCAGCAGGCTGAGGCAGGAAAATCGCTTGAACCCAAAAGGCAGAAGTTGCAGTGAGCTGAGGTAGTGCCACTGCATTCCAGCCTGGGCAACAAGAGTGAAACTCCATTTCAAAAAAAAAAAGAAAGTAAAGAAATTTAGAATTTCACTTAAACCCAATAACCATGGCAGAGAATTTGACTTATGAGAAATATTAACGAAGCCTAGAAAACTAGCCTTAAAATCCCCAAATTTCCATTTGCTCATTCAAAACAAGTTCCAGATAAGCAAAGTGGAGAATTTCTCCTCACTCAACTACCAGTGCCCACATGTCTTTCTAAGCTTGTGCTTAGCTTGCAGCTTTTATAAGATTCTTCCCTGAGGCTGTTTCAAAGCTGGAGGTTCCATACAAAGACGTAGGCAGCTTCCCCCGAAGACCATCTCTCAGATCTCACTGGCATTCCAGCTCATCTTTCCTCCGAGAGATGATTGAGCATTTGTTCTGGCTCACTGACTCCATCAAGTCCTGGAACTTCTGAGTGAGATGGTTTTCAGCTTTTCCGACCTCTGCAGGGTACTCTTGCCACCTCCATTCCAATGTCCCTCACCTGTGGAGTGCTGACTCTCACCTGGACAGCGCAGGATGCGAAGGGCCAAAAGATGCAGCAGGAAGAGTCCTGTTCCCCTCCACTTGCTCTCTGTGACCTCAGGAAAGAGCACTAATCTCTCTGATTCTCAGCTTCTCATCTTTACGACGGATGTAACAGCACCTACTGCCTGTATCACAGGGTCATGTCGAGGCTTAAAGAAGACCATGCTTAGGCACTTCACGGAGCCCTTTGCACAGAAAAATGGTTGCAGATGCTATGATTTGGAGACTCATGAGACTTGAAAATTAAGAAAAAGGAAAAACGATGATTGAGCTGAAAGATGAAAATGCACAATTACAAAAAGTCTTGTCATAGACCAGTCATTCTGCTCTGCAAAAGCTATGAAAGTTTGTTCTCACTCATTATTGTTGTGATTCATGTTCCAAGACAATGCCTTAAACCCATGTGGAACAAGGTGGAGTCGAAATAATGAAATGCTAGGTGCTGAGGAGGCACATGAACAATCTGGAAAGTAAGGCCACTTGTAGGTCTGCACCCCCTGCTAGGTGTGCTTTGCATGCATTTTCATAAGCGCGAAAAAGAAAGGCAGCCCAAACCAGAGGTCACGTTAGTTACCAGAAGTAATGAAGGCAGGTCTGAGAATTGCAGACGGCACTGCAGGGATCCAGTCCCTGCCCTCTGGACACTTGCAATTCAAGGAGGACAGCAGTGGCTGAGACGGCAGCCAAAGACAGACATGCGGCGTTGAGTCACCAGGAGGCTGGCCAGGAATGTGCAGGGTGGGAAGACTCAGTGTCAGGGTATTTTAGGTAAGGGTGAGTTTATGACTGAATGCATGGCCAAAGGGTTGGATGTTCAGACTGGGTGAAAGTTGGAGAAAGAGCATACTCTGGCATTTGCTGTGAACCCAAGAGGACCCTGCAAATTGAGTATCATTCTGAACATTGAGAGAGTCCAGTAAAGGAGAAGGTGTAGGTCGAGGTAGAACAATTCTACATCACTCCTGAGGAACTGTAGAAGCCCTGACTGTCAAAGGAGCTGAGAATAAGATTGGGTGGTGATGGGCTGCACAGGTGCCACCAACCCTGCCCTCTCCACCATGCTGGGGCCCAGGAGTGATAAAAAAAAATTCATTGGGGCAAGCTGGGCCATTTTAAAGGACTCTACAGAAAAGAAATGAGTAGGAAATGAAACTAGCCTTGGGACTTCAAGCACAATGGATGACACCATCACCTAAACTGTCCATTAAACTTTCCATTAAAATGCTCTGAATTGGAACTCATATCTAAGAGTGGGCTATTTGTGGCTAGTTTTAGTGGATCAGCGTGAGCAGGATGTTTTGGACTCTGTCTCCAGATGCTGCAGATGGTTTGGGCATCTCTGCCTCCACAGAAGCTCTGGGTCAGGAGACCTCACTGATGTTTGTACAAATCTCCCAGGGCCAATCCCCACTCTGGGGTCTATATCTTCTGGCCTGGGTAGATGGCAGAACCAAAGGAGGGCATGTTGGTTGCTGGAAGTAACTACACTTTAGGTAGCAGCAGAATGTTCACTCCCTTCCTGGACTCATGAGCCAGGTACAGCCCTCAACCCTCAACCATCATGGGAGAAGGCTGAGGGCTGTACCTGGCTCATGGGTGATGGGGACACAGGTATCCACCAGAAATGGGGGCACCATAGCTGCAAGCTTCTTGGCTGGACCTTGGCTTGATGACAGTAAATATTCATTAGTTCTCTGATTAGCCAATGTTTAATGAAGATTTTGAAGGCAATATGAAAGAATAATTCTAGGAATTTCTAATGGGCCAATTAAAAAACTTCTGTATGAAAGTGAAAAATATCTGGTTTAGGATAACTGCATTACTGCTGAACATGCACGTCTAACTTCACCACTTACTCCTGAAGATAGGCGTTTTAAACTTCTAGAATTCAATTGTGTCATCTGGTAATAAAGTGAGGATTAAAACATGTTTTTATTTTTATTCTTTTAGGATAAAAAGCATACAGATGTATTTGATCATAGTTCGATGTGACGTAGGAGCCTTCAGAATGAAGAACCAAAAACACAGGAGAAGCCGCAAATCTTTATGCTTAGGTTCAACACAGGGTGGACAGCTGTGTGGAGATAAGTTTGGACAAAAAGGATGTGATCTAATGCTGATAGGCTGAGTGGGGACTCAGCAGGGCCTGTCTGTCCGGATTCTTCTTGGCCTCTCTGAGCAGCATTCCTTCCTTCTGGGTATGTGGCAGGACCCTCTCTGGAATTACAGTCTTACCACCTACAGTCAAACAGAGTAGGTCAGATAATTTCTTTCTTTCAATGTTTTATTTTCAATTCCGGGGGTACGTGTGCTTGTTTGTTACATGGGAATTGCTCGTGAAATGAGGAGGACTGGGCCTCTAGTGAACCCATCACCCAAATGTTGAACACTGTACCCAACAGGAAATTTTTCAACACTCACTCCTCTCCCACCCTCCCCCCTTTTGGAGTTCCCAGTGTCTATTATCTCCATGTTCATGTCCACGTGTATCCATTGTTTCACTGCCTCTTACAGGTGAGAACATGCGATATTTGATCTGCTTCTGAGTTAGTTCCCTTAGGATAATGGCCTCCAGCTCCAACCATGTTGCACAAAGGCCATGATTTCATTCTTTTTTATGGATGCATAGTATCCCATGGTATATGCATCACATTTTCTTCTAGTCCATCATTGGTGGACACTTAGTTTGATGACTTTGCTATTGTGTATAGAGTTGCAATAAATATACAAATGCAGGTGCCTTTTTTAATATAATGCTTTATTTTCCTTTGGGCAGATATCCAGTAGTGGGATTTCTGGGTTGAATGGTAGTTCTATTTTTGGTTCTTTGAGAAATCCCCATACTGTTTTCCATAGAGGTGGAACTAATTTACATTCCCACCAACAGTACATAAGCATAAAGCATGTTTACTATACTAATATATGACTGTGCCAGATTAACTCTTTATAATAGGAATGAGAAACACATTGATAAATGCCAACCCTGGTCCTCATGGAGACAGAGAAGCTGGCAGCCAATTCCATAGGATAAGTGCCTTCAGAGATATAAGCAAGGAGCTGTTATGCCACAGGAGAGGGAGAAAGGAACTGCTGGGGGAACTTAAAAGGGTGACATAAGACACAGCCTCTGAGGTGGATTGGAAAAGATGGCTATAAACTTGGCCAGTGGTAGATATTATCTGACATGCCTCAGGCCAGGACCAGGCAAGATGGTTCTTCAGAAGGCCACATTCCAATCCAAGAGCTGTGGCATTTTTATACTGGTGCTATCTTAGTCACTCATCATTTCTTGGGGAGAAACTTGGGTTCCTGCAACAGTTTTTTGCTACCTTGTTCCTGATTGAATGCAAACTATGTAATAGTCAGAGGGAGATTTGCATTTGCACTTCCTGCCAAAATTCAAGGAGGTAAATATTAATCTGAGAGGAGGGTGTAAATCAACCTTGGTTTTCACTCCTAGAAGTAGGCAGGAAACAAGAGTGTTCCTGAAAAACACTTTCTCCACCATGCAATTAAGGTGTTTTGGACTTTTTTTTTTTAGCAGAAATATGAAGAGGAAATTTTCCAAGCATGACACACACGTTCAAAGGAAAGGAGAAAGGAAAAGGAGCATGGTTGCTAGAATGCAGGGTGTGACCCAAGCAAAGGCTCCTTTTTTATTCGAAATGGACTAACTTTCCTTGGAAAGCATCTAACTTTGATGACACATGAAAGACATGGGAATTTTCTCCAAGGAAAAGTTTCAGCATTTTAGGAAAGTACAGCAATCCACGAGGTACCACACGCATTACTGCCTCAGGGGACAAGGACCACCATATTTTCAAACATGCAGAGTGGGTGCCCATGGAGGGCAGTCAGCCAGGCCGCAGGTCACTTTCCTCACAAGTGCGTGTTGGGGACCGAGGAAATCCCCCATTCCCAATGACAGTAGGAATCTGCAGGAATGACCACACATGGCCAAAGTGCTGGTCAAATGTTTCTGTCCTAATTGGGCCCCTTCCTCCCTCCCTCTTCTTTTTCTTTTTTCTTTTCTTTCTCTTCCTTTTCCTTCCTTCCCTCCCCCATCCCCCCTCCCCCTCCCCCTTCCCTCCCCCTCCCCTTCCTTTCCCTTCATTTCTGTTGTATATAACTGCTCCTGAAGCAAGAGTCATTCTGAAACCTTTTACCCCAATACAAGTTTCAGCATCTCCAAGCACTGATGCCAACCACAGGTGGCAAAAGTTGGGCAGTGATAGTGGTCATGAGGGTGGGGGTGTCTGATTCAGCACCTGGAATAGCCCCCGCCTCTCCTCTGGATCAAGCCCCAGGTGTCCTATAATGGGGTGACTCTATCTGTCCTTACTTCCCTAGGGTCCTTTGCATTGCAGCCCCTTTGTCTTGCTCTTCTTCTCTCAGCCCAGTCCATTTAAATTTGAAATTTTGTTCAGACCACACTTGTGGCTCCCAGCTCTTCTTCCATTCATGGACACCACGCATCAGGGTGCACCTGGACTCACCCTCAGCCGTGGCCATGATTTCTCCTCAAGGGCCAGGCCCTGACTCCATAAACTCCAGCTCTTGCTCCTTGAAAGCAGGCTAGAACCCAGGATGCTAAAATTCTGTGTTAACTCTACGTGTAAAAGGACGGCGAGTGTGACACAGGATAACATCCTGCCTGAGCTGCTCTCCGTGCCTGCCAGGGTCCCCATTGTCTGGTTCCATGGGAATCCATGCATGGTTTGAGTATACTCAGTGTCCCAGGTGCTCTCCTAGGCCTCGTACGAGATTGTCACCATTATTGTCTTCGTCCTACTTCTCATCACTCGCTATGTGCCTGCTATTCGGACGCTGTGCTAAGCACATTGCATATACTCTTGTATTTCATTTTAACTATGGTTTTGCTAGCAGGCATTATTACCCCCAATTTACAGAACAGGAAAGAGGATGCTCAAGAGGAAAGTGACGAGCCCACCTACTTATCAGTCCAGCAAGGGCAGACTTTGAGGAACAAGGACTTTTCCTCCTGGCCACAGCTTAAATCCCAACCCCAACCATCGTCCCCAAGACCTCACTCCATTGATGGCATGTGCTCTTTCTTCCTCAGTATTTTCCCTCCCTATGCCTCTTTCCTCTCCGGCCACAAATCCACTTCATTCTCCTGGTGAATATAAACTTGAAAGAAGTTGGTTACTGATTTCGGGGATTAGGGAGCAGAGGAGTCTGGAACAGGGAAGCAACAGTGTCATGCGCTACAGAGGAGTGGATCTTCACGATTAAGCACAAATCATTGTCTCCAAATTTGGCAACAATTGATCCTTCTAGACATCAGTGAAGTGAATCCTGGACTCACACACCTGTATTTACTTGATAGAAGAAAAACCACAGAAGTTGGGATCAAGTGTTGGCTCTGCATTGACAGTCTCCTCAGAGACATGTCCCACTTCCTTCAGAGAGGATTCTTTTCCAGACAAAATGTTGAGGTTACTTTGTAGACAGGAAAATCTCTCAAGACCACAAGTTAGGCCTTGGAGTGAGGAAGTGGCTACTGAACAGCGCAAGGTAGGGGAGGCAATTCTTTGGATCCTACAACTCCCTTTTTTTTTTCAACTTCTTTGAAAAGTAGCAGAAAACTCCTGCCCCCACATTCTCACCACCTGTTTGCTTCCTTCTCAGCCTTTTACCAAAATGACTGTCTCAAAAATTCACTACCGACCATGGAATGACCAAATCCTGCCTCGCTTGCTCAGCTTCATCCCCTTCCACTTCTCTGTAGCACATGACACTGTGGCTTCCCTGTTCCAGACTCCTTGGCTCCCTCACCCCCAAAATCAGTTATCAAGCTCTTCAAGTTTCTGTTCATGACTTTTATTGCATTTAGCTCCATGTTTCTTTGCCACAACTCCACTGTCTCTATTACAGGCACTCATCACCTTTTATCAGGATTATATCAACAATTTTCCTTTGTGTCTCTACAGCTCCATGTCCTCCGTGAGTCCCAACACTGACAGCATTCTTTCCCTGCTCATGCCTCCAGAACCTCCCCTTTACTTCTTGATGCCCAACTGCCTCACCTTCATAAAGCTCCACACCCTAAGCTCAAATTTAGAGCATCCTCCCTTCCTCTTCACCCCAACCCCAGAGCTCAGGCAAGAGAGAACACCACAGAAAAAGCCCAGCTGGAAGTCTCACTGCCAAAAGTCCCAGCTTACACCCTTCCTCAATAGGTTGCCTGTGCAATGCTGTTTATTCCAGCTACACTCATCAAGAGCATGACGAGACATCTCAAGTCTAAAAACATATTGAAATATACGAGTGGGGTGGGCCATTCATTCATCCAACAATCTCTATTCACACATAACAAAATGAAGAGATGCCCCTTGAAATTTAGAAGTGAGCAAATTTAGGTCAAATTAAACACTTCAGTTGCAAACCTGATGGCCTAAGAGAGAGAAATGTTGTATTTTTGTAAAAGAGTCATGTAAAATTTGCACAAATCCATGATATAACTTCCTCATGGAGGAGTATGATGAACCCCTAATATCTACGTTGCCCACTTGGCCTTGCCACGCCCTACCCTCCTTCAGGATCCTTGTTCTAAGCAGTCACAGGACTAAGAGTCCAGTACACACAGGTCACTGCTTAATGACACGTTGTCTCAAAATGCTTGATGTAATACCGTGGATGTTCATTCTATGACCTCGGCTAGGTTATAGATTCCTGGAGTTCAGGACCACATCTGTTTTATTTTCCTATATTTCCTACAAATCCTACTATCCATCCAAGCATTTTAAAATAAGTAACTGTAGTTAATCCTCAAAAAATTGATACCGATGTCATCTTAAACAACCATATTCTTTTACATTTCAAAATCTCTTGGTACTTCTTCTAGCGCAGAAAACTTGGATACATGGATTATTGATTTGACCAACTACAATATTTCTCATTGTGTGTGTGTGTGTGTGTGTGTGTGTGTGGTGTGGTGTGTGCATGTCTTAAACTCTAATTAATTCTCCGAGAACTGATCCATTTAGAATGGTGTATTAGCAGTGCAAGCCAAGCACATACAGAGACACATAAAATAATGGTAAAAATTTCCTATCACAAGCGAGAGAAGCCTTTGGTAATGATTTTTTAATATTAAGATTGCACTCCTATGTGCAAAATTAAATTTGAAAATATTATTTCCCCTAAAATGGAGCCTAATTCTTTAGTAAGAGTAGTCATTCACTTCCTTGTTCTGTATTACACGTTTCCTACAGCCTAACCCATCATTTGTAAGTACTTAGAAGCCCATGTGAGCTGTTATTTCTTTCAAGAGTCACAGGAGTTTTGTAGATGCTGTGTTGCAACAAGACTCATAAGAAGTACACACTCCATGACATAGCTAAAACTTAGAAACATTAAGAAAAATCAAAAAAGTCTGTAGGAACTCTCGCCCATTTTCTAGAAAATGTCCAACTACTCATCTAAGACATAAGCACCCAGGTTCACCAGCTGAGTCCTCACTGTTGTTTCCCTAATGCCCACATTAGTTTGCATGGAATCATAAATGGCAGGTTTAAGAGATTTTAAAATTTTGGATCAAGCACAAACCATTATCTCCAAATCTGGCAATGATTGATCCTTTTAGACATCAGTAAAGTGAATCCTGGACTCACACACCCGTATTTACTTAACAGAAGAGAAATCACAGAAGTTGGGATCAAGTGTTGGCTCTACATTGACAGTCTCCCTAGGGACATGTCCCACTTCCTTCAGAAAGGATTCTTTTTCAGAGATAATGTTGAGGTTACTCTGTAGACAGGAAAATCTCTCAAGACCACAAGTTAGGCCGTGGAGTGAGGAAGTGGCTACTGAACAGCACAGGCAGGTAGCAGAATCTTGACTCCAATTTGGCTCTAGTCAGCCAAGGCTGGAAACAACAAATAATTATTCAGTCTAAAACCAACAGCACCATTTTTTTATCTCCACATTTATACTTAAAATTACAATTGCTCATTATACATCTGGAGTCTACACCAGCCTCAGTTTTGGTATTTGATTTTTTTTCTTACTTTGAAAAAATAAAACTTGAACCTGAAAGGAGAAATATTCCAAAAGACCTAGGTACTTGAAAAATACACTTGAAGTATAATCTATTCCTACTTCCCTTAGCTATACCTACAGTGAGGCAATTTTTTTATCCTCATCTTTTCTTCCCTCCCTTCTTTCTATGCTTTGAAGAACTAAGCTTTACAGAAGGTTTGATTGATTCAAGGAACCAAATGCAGAAGATACTCTCCCCTCAAAGCCATCTGCTAAGCAGTCAGATTCCCCCAGGCATCTGCTTGTAGCAAACACAACATAACACCTCCAGGCAAATCGCATGACCTAGATGCCAGTCGATGCTGTTCTTGAACCATTCTGCGTGATGAGGATTTTAATCTTGGCAACCATAAACATGGCTTCTGATTTATTTCAATATAAGACAATTTTCCTTTTGGTCTAATATGAAGCTTTGCATTCTTTCGACAAATTCACATTCTCCTTCTAGAAAGCTATACCACTCCCCATTGTAAGGTAACCTTTCTTTGCTCTTTGCTGGTACTTACTACAAAATATCTTCAAAGGCACTTAAGGAATGTCTTCGACCTAGTACAGAAATATCTCCACATAATATATAAAAAAGAAAAGAAAACTGACCCAGTTTTGAAACACCCCATGTTCATCTTTAACTAAAATATGAGCTTAGAAAAATACAGCTATAAGCAATACGAAGCCTGTACTGAGGCGAATGTTATTTTGCAGAGAGTCAGTCATCTGGCTGTTCTGCATTAACGAATGCCTTCTGTATGTTTCCTGAGATGAAGCTGTGATTCACCCAGCAGATGCACACTGAAGTGGTGCGAAGGTCAGAAAACGACAAGGAAAAACATCCTCAACTTCTCCTTATTTCTGCCCCTTCTACCCTTCTCAACCAGGTAGAGCAAAATAACTCCTTGCATTTTCTGCCGAAACCTGTTCCATTTGAAGAGCCTGCCAGCCGGGATGTTTAAAACGTTGCTGAATGATTAAACACAAATGCTTAAATGGAGAGAGCTGGTTTTTATTAAATATCCTAGAGCAACACTGTCTGCCCACACTTGTGCACATGTCTGACTGCGTGCTGATAAACGTGGTGGCTTTAAGATATTACTTATTAGCATGCCTGTATATTTCCACCTCACACAGTCACCCAAGGGTGATTGCTATCTGTTAATTGAATTCTGTGCCAGCAACTGTGTCTTTTGTGTGTTTGCCATTATAATTTCAAGGATTGTAACTTCATTTCCTATTTATAAATAATAATAAAAATATAAAGTTACATATTTATACACTGTTGTATGTACATGTATGTGTGTGTGTTTATATGTGTATTTATGTGTGTGTGTTTAGGTGTTTGTTTATGTGTGTGTGTTTATATGGGTGTTTGTGTGTGTGTTTATATATAGAAAGAGTCACTTAAAGTCACTGTATATTACAGAAAAGACACAATTTAATAAGCCATGCCAAACATTTCTATATAGAAACACACATATCCAAGCACTCGACAGTTTTCTGCTCCAGAGCATGGCTGGTGAATCTACAAAATAGAAGCAGGCATTTTTATTTTTTGCACAATAATCAAAACTGACATGATGGGCCGAATACTCAGTGAAGAGTTATGAAACTGTTCATCTATAAACCTGTCTTTTTCCATAGCTTATAAGAATATGCCACAGTGATTTGGTGAGCCCTCCTTGGTTTCAGAACGCCTATATCAGAATCAGGTGTCGCATGTAATGAAGCTCCAGGGAAAGACCTGGCCCCAGGTCAGGATGGTATCCTGTCCCCTGCAGCGAGCAGAAGGAGGGGAGGCTGAGGCCAGAGGACGCCTCCCGTACAGGCAAGGGTTTCGTATTAATAGTGCCAACAGGACCTCCATGTCCTCTCATAGAAAGTGGATCATTTGCTCCAATGTTCTAAGACTCAGACAATTCCCTAAAGCATGGTGAAAATTTTAAGTCCCCCTGTAGGTAAGTCATACGTCTGATAAAATATGCTCGGTGAGTCATTGGAAAGGAAAAAGCTACTGACTTCCTGATACAACTAATGCAGAAAAAGTTTCCCAGACATTGCTAACAGCCCAAATGGCTTTCACCCAGAGCACACAGCTCGTATTTCCCAGCTCACAGAAGGCAGAAAGATGGTTTCTATGGTTTAGATACTGCAGGGATTTGCAGGTGAAACTTGGTTATTCTAACCACCCACCATCTTTAGTGGGGGCTCCCCCTATGCACTCATGGCCCCTAGTTCTGGGTGAAACTTTCCCTCTTAGAGGCCCCAAGGAATGCGGTAAGGCATGACAGACTCCCGTGTTAAATACATCACGAGTGTAGCGTGTTCATGCGATTGCTGGTATCTCAGAATATCTGGACTAAAATTACCATGTATCATTACTTCTAAACTGAATGAACAATGATTAATCAAATGAATGGGCACAATTTTCTCAGGAATCTAATTTGATCTGAGATGGTTTCTAATTTTATAGGAACTGCTGCTCCGATCCCTTGGGTATGCATCCGTCTAGACTACCCTTGATAGTCCAGGTCCTGAGAGCCACAGCAGCATAGACAAAGCCTTGTCTTTCTGGGCCCCACCAGGCTGAGCATTGTCTCTCCTCAACTCTGAGGATCCCTGGGACTTCAAATAGACCTGTGACTATATAGAGCTGTTCATTCCTCCCAAAGTGAAGGACCCTAGACACAGAATGACTCACAGTATACAGTGTGCCTTCCCTATAACGTAAAACAAACATTCCATTCCATTATGATAGGTGATGTTTTAGGTAATGAGGCAAATACAATCTGTTTTTTTTTCACTCTTTTCACTTTTAATTAAAAGTCATATTCTACTTCATAATGCCCTGATTTTCAAACTATAGAAAAGGCAAAAATTAGAAGACCCTGTCCTGCCTAAAAATAAAAAGAAAGAGAGCTTACAGCCAAGCATATAAGAGTGTTTGGGAGAGAGGGTGAGGTAGGAGTGATGAAGAAACAGGAAGACGAGTACACCAAAAAAAAAAAGCGAGCATAATGTTTTTTTTTAAAAAAGTACTAATGATGTTGAAAGAAGAAAGAGATCACAACATGTCTGGTGTTGAAAGGATGGCACAGAATTCATGAGGAGACGGCATCAAGGATTTATCCTGAAAAATAGTTAGGGTTTTAAAATTGATTAACAGTATAGGCCAGACCATCGAGGCTCTGAAACAACAAGAAGACAGACAAGGGACCAAAGGGCAGGTGCATTTTGAGTGCGCCAAGCTGCTGGTTTGACGGCAGCGTACAGGCAGGAAGAGAGAGGGAGCGCACCTTGAAATGGAGGAAGGGCCATGGGGCAGGGTCCTCACTGAGAAGGGGCAGAGGGGACTAACCCAATAAGAGACAGGGAGCCCCTGACAGCCGTTGGGCAACAGAAGGCTATGACAACAAAGGCGCTTTAAGAATAGTGGTCTATAATCCCAGCACTTTGGGGGGCCAAGGCGGGAGGATCTCCTGAGGTCAGGAGTTCAAGATCAGCCTGGCCAACATGGTGAAATTCCATCTCTACGAAAAATACAAAAATTAGCTAGGTGTGGTGGCAGGTGCCTGTAATCTCAGGTACTCGGGAGGCTGAGGCAGGAGAATCGCTTGAACCCAGGAGGCAGAGGTTGCAGTAAGCCAAGATCAGGCCATTGCGCTCCAGCCTGGGCAACAGAGTGAGACTCTGTCTCATAAAAAAAGAAAAAAAAAAAGAATAGTAGTCAGTAGTCTACAAATTGTGAAGGAAGGTTGGAGTTGAGACAGAGGGAAGACAGAATTACAAGCATGGACCATCAGAACAGAAACAGGGCTCTGCCGGTTCACTATGGCTGCAGTAATGCGGGGAGCAAACAGCCACAGCATTCCAGCAGCCAACAACGACCACCTTCAGATCTGCTGGCTGACTGGGGCTCGCCTGATCCAGGCTTCCACGTGGCTTACATTGCCCTCCTAGGATCAGTGGGTTAGCCCTGGTGTGCTCTTCTGGAGAAGGCACAGGCCCAAGTGGGTGGGCACATTTCAAGTCTCTGTTGAGTCAGACCTGCCACTGTCCTACTGGCTAAGAAGTCACCTGGTCACACCGAGCATTCATGAGTAGGGATGCCCACTGCTCCCATGCGAGCAGGAAGAAAGAGTGAACAGTCTGAGCAGGGGTCCACCCCACTATCAGCAGCTCATGTCAGAACGGGGGCATGGAAATGTGGAAGACAAAACAGCTGGGAGGAGTCTTAAAGAGCTCAAGCCCAAAACTGCAGACAATGGTTTCACGTACTGGGTAGAATTAGATGACAGCGTAAAAACAGATGAATTTCAGGCATCAAACATGGGCCATTATGATTAGTATGAGGCCGCTATCATAAATATTGAGACGAAACAAAATTGGGGGGGAAAATTATGAGTTTGTTTTAAATGTATTGAATTTAAAGCTCCAGGAAGATATGGGCATGAGGCATCCAGGAGGCAGCTGTTTCTAGGACCTAGAGCTCAAGTAAGAGATGTGTCTGGAGACAGCTTTGTGAGCCATCTGCATAGAGGCTGCAACCAAGAAGTCAATAAGACCATCTGAGACCTGAGTCTTAGAAAACCAGAGGTGAATCCAGGCATGGTGGCTCACACCTATAATCTCAGCACTTTGGGAGCCCGAGGGGAGTGGATCTCTTGAGCCCAGGAGTTCGAGACAAACCTGGGTAATATGGCAAAACCCTGTCTCTATAAAAGTACAAAAATTAGCTGGGTTTGGTGGTACATGTACCTGTAACCCCAGCTACTTGGGTGGTTGAGGTAAGAAAATTGCTTGAGCCCAGGAGGCAGAGGTTACAATGAACTGAAGTTGCGCCACTGCACTCCTGCCTGGGTGGCAAAGCCAGACCCTGTCTGAAAAAATAAAAAAAGCAAGAAAAACAGAGGTGAGGAGGCCCCAAGCCAACGTCTCAGAAGGTTGTCCCCAAACAACCTGAGCACATTGGGTTATCTCTAAATACACTTCTGCTAGAATATCCATCAAACCTTTCGTCAGATTGTCATTTCCACACACACCTTAGCAACTGATATGATAGTAATACATCATTGCCTTGTAGGAAGCTTAAAATATGGGTTCAGAGTTTTGCAGAAAGAGCAACACTAGACAGACAGACAGAGTTGCCTGTATAGAGTTGAGAGGGTCGAAGCTCTGGGAATTGGTGGAGGTCACCGAGAAAATAAGTAATGGAGTAAGGAAACAAGAAATGCAGGGGAGTGATTCCCTACATTTCAGAGGTGTGTGGAGGATGAAGAGCCAGTAAAGGAGCATAGGATTTAACCAGTGAAATTGAGGGGTAGGATTGCATGGTGTCAAGATGCTAAGGGTAAGAGAAATTTAAGGACTAAGTGATTCCAGATGTCAGATGCAATCAAGTCATAGAAGAAAGTGAGGTCTGGAGAAAAGACATGATATGGCATTAGGAATTTGTGAGTATCTTGAGAGAGACTCAGTGAAATGGTGACAGTGAATGCCAAATAGCAAGGGATTATGGCAAAAGTGGGGGTAAAACAAAGATGTGGGCCATGCTCCCAAGAAGCTTGCTGGTACATCAAGAAGAGACCCAATGAGTGACCAAGAGAAAGGAAAGGAAATGAGATGGTTCGAGACTTCTGCCCAACTAAAATGATTCTGTTGGTGGATTATGTACCACATTTTCTTTATCCAGTCTGTTAATGATGGGCATTTGGGTTGATTCCATGTCTTTGCTATTGTGAATAGTACTGCAATAAACATATGCCTGCATGTATCTTTACAACAGAATGATTTATATTCCTTTGGGATATTCAGTAATGGGATTACTGGGTAATCCCATTGTGGATGAGAACCCCAGTTTCCTGGGTCTGGGTCTAGCATCCGACACATGGCCTTTTCCTCTCACCACAATGATTCTAACGGCCCCCAGATCACCACCTGTCCAGGCCCCACCTGATTCTGAGTCAGGGCTGGACTTCCCAAAGCTGATGTCATCAAATCCTTTCCCTGTGGGAAAGGATTCCCGGCACTTGAAGATTTAGTTCTTTAACTGAAGAATGTGGAGCTGGCGGGGAAGCATGTTAGTACTTTTCCTGTGCCTCATGGCCTCGGCTATCCCTTTACAGATAACTTGGGAAGGGTTGGAGATGTGGCTGGCTTTCTAAAGTAATCAAAACTTCAATTAAAAACTAACTGCATTTTTTTAATTTTATTTTATTTTAAGGTCCGGGATACATGTACAGGACGTGCAGGTTTGTTACATTAGGTAAACGTGTGCCATGGTGGTTTGCTGCACCTATCACCCCATCACCTAGGCTCACCTAGGTAAGCCCCACAGGCATTAGCTATTTATCCTGATGCTCTCCCTTCCCTTGCCCCTCTGACAGGCCCCAGTATGTGTTTTTTCCCTCCCTGTGCCCATGTGTTCTCATTGTTCAGCTCCCACTAATAAGTGAGAACATGTGGTGTTTGGTTTTCTGTTCCTGTGTTAGTGTGCTGAGGATAATGGCCTCCAACTCCATTCGTGTTCCTGCAAAAGACATGATCTTGTTCCTTTTTATGACTGCAGAGTATTCCATGATGTATATGCACCACATTTTCTTTATCCAGTCTATCACTGACAGGCATTTGGGTTGATTCCATGTCTTTGCTATTGTGAATGGTGCTGCAATGAACATACGCATGCATGTATCTTTACAATAGAATGATTTATGTTCCTTTGGGATATATTCAGTAATGGGATTACTGGGTCAAATGGTATTTCTGGTTCCAGGTCTTTGAAGAATCGACATAAAAATTAATTTTCATTTTGTCTTTCCTTGGGGCCGAAAACCCCCTCTGGCTCTATAACCCTGTACTGTTAACTGTACATGTCTATACTTGAAGGCACCCTCCCTGCCTACTTTCTAGCTGGATCTCAGAGACATCTTTCTCCTAATTCTTAAACAATACAGGGACCCAGATGAGGTGCCAGAGGTCATCACTGTAACTCAAGTTTATTGTTGTTCATTGTGTTTGAGTTTCAGGACAATTGGAATATTCAAATGAAGAACACAGGAGAGTTAAAGTTAAATGTTAGTTTGTTATTATAAATATAATGTCAAATATGCTTAATAATGCATGAAATTTTCTCATAGAAAATATCAACTATGAACAGGTAGGTCTACCCTAGAAGCCAGACTGTGACAAAAAGAAAAAGCATGAGAGGAGGGGAAGATTTACCATTTTTAAAGTAGGGCACTTACCTCATCTTCTCCCACAACAGAGCATAACTAGAACCACCATTGTGGGGGCATCTGCTAGGTAGATGTTTTACATATATCATCTCACTCACGTAGGGAACTTCTCTGATAAACTACTAATGATGCTTATGACTCCCCTGAGCAAAATATCCCTCAAGAAAGAGGGACATTTCTTGGCCACCAGTACATTTATACTTTCCCTCACTGTCTCTTCATGCCTTTCTTTTCCACATATCTTTTCTAGAGTAGGCTTAGAATAGGAGCTGCCATTTTCACTGCTTTCTGTGGTTTCTACTTTTTAATTTTTGTTATTATCATAGTTTACCCAAAAGACTTAGAGAATATTAGAATGTTAGAACTTAAAAGAACTCAGGAGCTCTTGTTCTGTTAATAAGAGAACAAGGTTAATAGAGGCAGAGTGAGTTGTGCGAATTGTGGATGAGAACCCCAGTTTCCTGGGTCTGGGTCTAGCACCCAACACATGACCTTTTCCTCTTGCCGCAGTGATTCTAATGGCCCCCAGATCACCACCTGTCCAGGCCCCATCTGATTCTGAGTCAGGGCGGGGCTTCCCAAAGCTGATGTCATTCTGTGGTAGGGCTAAGCGTGTCAATAGATCCGAAACAAAAGAGGGCAATTCTCGAAGAATGAGCAATATAAACCCTACTTGCCTAAGTACAGGATTGGAAATGACCTGCTAACCAAGGCAGTTTCCTGGGCTTAGTTTCCTGGGACTGTTGCTGGCTTTGGGGAACTGAGTGAGGCCAAACCAAACCTAGAACCAACACTGAAATGGCACAAAACTCAGTGCACAGCCCATAAAGTCACAATTAACTTCTCTACTGCCAAAGGCTCCACTGCCCAATGGAAAATGGGAGCTGTCCCAGCCAGAAGGTAAGCAAAACAAAGGCTGCTTACCCAAATATCTGTCACCATCAGTATTAGGGTCCAGTAGAATGAACTAATCATATCTACTCCAAATAGGAGCATTATTTTTTAACATTCAAAAGTTAAATGTGATTTTTTTAGGCTTTAATATTTATGGGTTATTTACTGAATATAAAATATAGCAGTGAACATTAAGATATCATCTTAATTCAGTGATTAAGTAGAAGTTTCCATGAAAATAAATATCCAAGTATTTTCTACATATTTACATAATGAACTATTTAAATGCAAGGGATTCTAACATATGTAAACAATTGCAAATAGCATATGTGTAGAAATCCAAAGCAACAATGTCCACTGTTACTTGTAATATGCAATTCATGATTTAGCCAAAGCATATTTCTAAGCTTTTATGTGGTAAATAACTATATACTATACTCATAAGCATAATACATTTTTCAAAGCAATTAGAAATCAGTAATGTGAAGGAGTAACAATGTAGTATGACAGTGTTGAAAAGTTATTGCATCAATCATAAAATTTTTTTCTTGAATTATGTAGTACCTAACAACCAGAGGAATCTATTTTAAAATGATCAAGAGCAAATCTATTATAACAAAGCCAATAGGAAGTAATTTTATACTTTTTAAGCAAATTCTGACAAATCAGATAATGCATACTTTTTGTTCGGAAACTTACCAAATCATATTTCAATTCTCCATAGGGGTGATGTATCTTTAACCAACCAATAAAAATGTGTGCTCTCAAAATACTTATTACAGTCAAGTTTGCACAACCAGCTCAATGGTGCAGCTTAAACAGAATTCGTTCATCTTTCTGTATATTTCAACTTTGTTCCATCCTTCTTTTTTCTCTAGTTTTTTTCTAGAGGTGAAGATGAGAGCATAGAGAGGTGAAGATAGTGAGAGTGAGGGCTTTCTGCATTTGATAAGCAGTCAGGCTTCACCCCAGGAGGAGAGAAACAGAATAAACTATACTTTGTATCTGCCTCATGCTAATTACTGCTCTAGGAAAACCACTTTTCAAACCACAAATAGCTGAGATCAGTTAGCTCCCAGCTACTGGATAACACCGCCACTGTTGCCAATGGCAGGGATGCCAGCAAATTTGGGCAGAGGGAAATATGTGATCTGCGGGTACACTGCTTCCCTTCCTCCTTTTTTTGATTGAAGATGACCTTAAATAGCCAAACTCCTGTACAGAATGCTTCAGGACGGCTTATTCCATCTGCTGAGCCACCATAATACAACGTTCCAAATGCCAAAAGAAAATTAAAATTATAACTGACCTTGACATTTTTCATTACTTCCCAACATTCTTCTTATTCAAGGATCTGAGTACTTGAAAATTGATTTTTATATAAAAAAAACTTTCGTGACTTTAAATGAATCAAAAGCAGTGGGGCTTCATCTATTACATAGTCCTGAGCATTTCACATGGTGCAAATGCCACATTAGGGGTTAGGGAAGAAGGTGCCTTACTTTGTATGAGAAGCGTGAGCCCCTAGAAACAGGTGCATCAGACAGGACAGAGGACCTGCTCAATCAGAATTTTAGAGTGTGCTCCACTTGAAAAATAGAAGACCTGTAAAATCCAGTGATTTAAAACTAGACATGGGCTGGGCGCGGTGGCTCACGCCTGTAATCCCAGCACTTCGGGAGGCCGAGGCGGGCAGAGCATGAGGTCAAAAGATCGAGACCATCTTTGCCAACATGATGAAACCCCCTCTCTACTAAAAATACAAAAATTAGCTGGGCATGGTGGCATGCACCTGTAGTCCCAGCTACTCGGGAAGCTGAGGCAGAATTGCTTGAACCTGGGAGGTAGGGGTTGCAGTAAGCCAAGATTGCACCACTGCACTCCGGCCTGGCGACAGAGCGAGACTCCATCTCAAAAAAAAAAAAGATACTAGATGTCTGTGTGTATATATGGATATATATAACATATATGTAATATATATAAATACAAACACATATACACATCTAGATAGAGATATATACACACACATGAATATGAATGTGAACATGAATCTGAGTGGGAGGGGTCCTATGTGCTGTTTACAGCTCTCAACTTTAAGATGAACATTCTGAGACTAAAATTACCTCACCTGTGTAAAAAGAGTGTCTTTTTTTTTTTTTTTTTTTTTTTTCCTGAGACAAGGTCTTGCTCTGTCGCCCAGGGCAGAGTGCAGTGGTGCAATCTTAGCTCACTGCAACCTGCACCTCCCAGGTTCAAGGGATCCTTCCACCTCAGCCTCCCAAGTACCTGGGACCACAGGTGCACACCACCACACCCAGGTACTTTTTGTAGATATGAGGTTTTGCCTCATTGCCTAGGCTGGTCTCAAACTCCTGGACTCAAGCGATCTGCCTGCCTCAGCCTCCCAAAGCACTGAATTATAGGCATGAGCTACCACACCCAGCTGAAGAGTGTCTTTTCTGTAGAGTCCTCCTACGTGGGTTACCTGAGGGGAAGATAACATAATTAAAAGGGTCTATTCTCCCATAAGGGAGTTTAGCACCTCAGCCATTTAACTGACTGAAACAGATGAAAGTAGACATTTTCTTGGACACACAATGTTTTTTGTTCTGTAAATTGAAATAACAAGGGCACATCATTTTCCATTAAAGTTTTTTTAGAAAATGTAAATTAGCAATCAAAGACAAAATACAAAAGTAGCACACAAAAGGCATCAAAAACTTTTCAAGAGACTTAACAAATATACGAAAACAAAAACAAGTAGCTGCAAGAGTCACTTCTTCCAGCAGATAACTATATTTTCACAGCAATCTCTTTTCATAGGAAGCTACGAACTTTTGACAGGCTCATTTGCACCAGTCTATGTCCAAGTAAGTCACTTGTCACATCCGAGTGCATGGATTTTGTTCTGGGCCCATGAACCCCGGGCAAGGTTCGCTTTCTTTTTCATTGAAGTTCTTCCCCACTGGATTTTTTCCTTTCCTTGCGAAGTAATTTTATACTGCTGCTGGTGTTGGCAACAATATATTAAAAGTCAAATTTATGTCAACATCCGTATATTGACTATCAGATGTTGCTATTAACACTGACATCAAAATCATTAAGAAATTTCCATCATGTAAATTAATTATCAGAATTGTATTGGCATGAATACATAATGATATTATTCATGCAAATAATTAAAAATATGCCTCCTGAAAACAAATTATAATAATGGAATAAAATGACATTATTGCAGCTTCTTGACAATCCATTAGGCTTGGTTTTAGGCATGTAAGATTTCCAGATTATCATTAAGAAGGGGAACTAAATGAGGACATGTTATCAATGTCGTCGATGCTACGGTGCAGACTCTCTGAGAATAAGACCACTATGGGAAGGGTCGCTGCGAGGCCCAGGCTGCCCTTTTTGGGCCACGCCTTTATTCTACATGATCTCCACAATTATTGTTGAAAAGAAGACAGGTTATTTTCTTGTTGCCAATTTCAAGTCTCAAAGGACCTCTCACATAAAAAGGTTGCGGTGACTAAAACACTGGTGTTATTAGAGAACACAGCAGAAAAAATATAATTAACCTGAGTTCTCACAGGTTGTATCTTGCCATCCCACAAAAATGTAATTACTACCCATCAGTGAGTACAGAAGAGAGTTTGATTACGGAGCTCACGGATGTCTGCAAACTTTCTCAGTAAGAGCTAGACACGGCAACGACAGAATTTAGCTTCCTTTGGGGTAGAAAACACCTAACGCTGTTCAATGAACATGGCTAACAACTTGCACAGCAGAGCACTTACTTCAGTTGCAGCTCGCATTAATGAATCATATTTAAAACAGGCTAAATGAGCATAAAGCAATGAAATCAACAGCAAATAGAGTAAGGGGAGCCTATGTGTACCTCTCTCTCTTTCAGCCACATTCTTTTGAATCTGTCTACAGTGGAACTATAGAATCCCATTCAAATCCACTTGTAATAAAATTGGGGTTCTAATTCAGAGAAAACAAGCAAAAATTCATAAACATGAGTTGCAGCTAAACCATACAAAAATAGAAGATAGACCCATTGAAAATATATAGTGTTCTCTGTATCATCAGAATAAGCTGCTGTGGTTGACAGAGAAAAAGGAAGTTGTATCAGTTCCCTAGAAAGTTGCTTTTTTTTTTTTTTTTTTTTTTTTAGGCGGAGTCTCGCTCTGTCACCCAGGCTGGAGTGCAGTGGCGCAATCTCGGCTCACTGCAAGCTCTGCCTCCCAGGTTCATGCCATTCTCCTGCCTCAGCCTCCCGAGTAGCTGGGACTACAGGCGCCTGCCACCACGCCCGGCTAATTTTTTGTATTTTTAGTAGAGACGGGGTTTCACCGTGTTAGCCAGGATGGTCTGGATCTCCTGACCTCGTGATCCGCCCGCCTCCTCCTCCCAAAGTGCTGGGATTACAGGTGTGAGCCACGGCGCCCGGCCGAAAGTTGCTTTTCTAGAAAACAGAGAAATAATGCTCGATGGAGTTTGCTTAATCAAGCATCAGTGTTTCTGTCAGTGCTTGGAAATCCATGTCCTGCTGTTGTTCATCTGTCAGCAGAAAGATCAAACCTGCACCCTTAACTTCACACTGCACTAATAAGATGATGCATTAAGCATCTCATAGGTAATACCTGGTGTGTTGCAAGTATTGTTTTTGTAAAGCCCTCATTTGTGCATAACTCACACAAAGTATTCCAATTTAAAAATATCATGCTTGGTCTGGCACAGTGGCTCACACCTGTAATCCCAGTACTTGGGAGGTTAAGGCAGGAGGATGGCTTGAGCCCAGGAGTTTGAAACCAGCCTTGGCAACATGGAAAAATCCAGTCTCTACAAAAAATACAAAAATTAGCTGGGTGTGGTGGCGTGCGCCTGTAGTCCCAGCTGCTCAGGAGGCTAAGGTGGGAGGACTGATTGAGCCTCAGAGATGGAGGCTGCAGGGAGCCAAGATAGCACCATTGCACTCACTCCAGCCTGGGTGACAGAGCAAGACCCCATCTTAAAAAATTAAATGAATAAAAATAAATAAATAAGAATAAAAATAAATAAAAATGAAAATAGCATGCTTTACAAAACCAAAATTTATTTAAATTAATGCCTTTCATACTTTGTTCTTCAGAAGGACCATATATGAACCGCAACTGGGATTTGTCATGCAAATCAAACAGGAATCAACAAAAGACTCAGAGTTTTTCATTAGGAAGGGAAGACACAGACCAAGCCTGTTGGTGATGATATGGAAATGTTGGTAAGGCTTTCAAGACGGGCAGTCTCTTAAAGTTAAAAATATTATTTACCAAATGCTTAATAAAGAAACAAAAAGTACATCTTGTTTACAAATGGAAAAATCTATTCTAACAACACAGTCATAAGAGTTACAGGAATAAAACTCTGGAAACCTTGGAAAAATCAGAGCAGTAATGATGATGATTAACTCTAGGAATTAGAATGTCTTCCCCAAGAAGTTACTTTCAACCAAAAATTATTATGCATTAAAGTTTCCCTGAAAAAAATATTTTCTCTGAAATATAAAGTTTTCTCTTACTTCTGACAGTACTAACTGTACTCTGTGTTTTAAGAAAATCAGTTTTAATAGAATCTATAAACATGTATATGTATATATGCATTTGTCTTCCCATTTAACAGGTATTATTTTTAAGTTTGAGCAAAAAAAAGTAAATGCCTTATTACTATTTTATGATTCTGCATAACCCTAAATCCCAGTAACAGTCACCAGCCCTTTGTAACATTCCAGTTTGCAAGGCTGAGGACTAGATTCTCATGGTAATGGAAAGGTAACTTTTCCTCCTTCTGCTCCCAACATCATCTACTCTCTATCTACAGACTCAGAAAGACAATGCTGGTGATGATTGTAAGTAATGAACAGGTTTTGTCCAATTCACTCCTAAGAAGATGGAAGTCAGGGTCCAATGTGTAACACGCTTGTTTCATGTGAGGCATGACCATGGTGAGCACCACACAAGAGAATGGACAAATAGGCTGACAGAACAGGGCAAACAGGGACAGGGTAGATTCCTCCCTACGTACGTCACACATCAGGAGTCCAGGAGAGCGAATCATCCAAGGTCAGGGCCCCACTCTAACGCTGGTCATAAGGCAGAGATAAGGGGACACCTGGCCCTGACCCAGATCAGCTGAAAGGTCCACACAAGACTAGCAAGAGCAGGAGCAAGCCTAGGCCCCAGGTAGTGGGCCAGGCAGGAAGACAGCAGGGAGCTGGCCCCATCAACTTGGGGGCAGCCAGGCCTACTCTGTAGGGCTCAGGGCCCTCACGGGGTGGAAGAGACCCTGGACAGGCATCCAACTCAGGCCAAAAGGAGCAGGCAGTATCTTGGCCATCCAGAGAGACAGAAAATAAATGCAGACCAGAGGAGAGTCTTGGGTTTCTAAAGCTTCCGCAGCAGGTCAAGGCCAAATCCATCCACTGTAAAATCTGCTGGGCAACAGAGGCCTGGAGTGCTAGTGACCTGCTCGCCTCTAATTAGCTGGGGCGGAGGGGCATCGAAGTCTGCAAACAGCAGGTTGTTCCTGCCCACACTGAGAATGGAGCGAGAGCAGGCGCAAGAGCTGATAAGTTTGGGTTTGTGTGACTCACTGTACAGGTCAGCCAATTAATCCTTGGTCATCTGCCTGAAAACTGGATGGCGTCCACCTATGGGCAGTGGTTCTGTTAATTGGCACGTTGTCTCAGTGATGCTCCCCCAGGGCGCAGCGCCCCGAGAAAGTAGAACATGCACTTATCCATACCAGCCAGCCATTTCCTCTCCATAAACATATGACTCCTTTTAAAAATACTCGAGTCAATATTTACAGTGATTCCTGATTGAATGCAGTCTCAGAGAGGCTTCTTTCAAACAGACAGAAACTGAATCTTACTCTCTCCTGACTTTCTCCCTCCTCCAAGAAGACAGTTAACCCTGGATGGAACAAACGCAGATACTTCTTAACGACACCAGAGCCCTTGGATAAAAATACATTTTTGATAAATTACAATTTGATGATCGCCACCCAAGTTCCCACCGGAGTTAATAAATATTACATTTACTCTTATTTGCTTTTAGACTCTTTCCTGTGTCTGCGCTTCAAAAAATAAATTAGTAATATATTCACATAGCCCCCACTTTAAAAAAAAAAACAATTACAGGTAAAGGCCACTTCCCTCTTTCACTACCCAAGTCCCAGTCCTTTGTATTGTCCAGAGAAAAGCAGTATATGCCCCCCTTTTCTTTTTTTTTCTTTTTTTTTTTTTTGAGACAGTTTGGCTCTTGTGGATGAGTGTGGGTGAGTGTGGGTGTGTGGGGGGGGTGAGTGTGGGTGTGTTTGTGTGAGGATGTGTGGGTGCGTGCATGCATGTGGTACATGTGGGTGTGTGTGCAGGCACAGCTGTGCATGTGTTGGAGGGGTGTGAAGGGGTAGAGGGGCCACCAGGTCAGTTTTCTGGGAAAACTGGACTGGAACTCCAAGGTACAGTAAACTCTAGAGTACTTACTACTGCCTCTACAAACTACCCAGACCCTGACAGGAACCTAATAAAAATTAATTCAATGGTGAAAATAATGTTTCAGTTGAGGTATTACACCGTGGAACCATTTGATGGCTGCATGTAACCTTATATTTTGTCAGTACCCACCCAAATACCTCCCAAAAATCTCTAGGCCAAAAGGATAAAGTCCAAGTTCCTAAGCCAGCTCCATGAGGTCTTACTCATCCAACTCAACTACCACCTGCCTAACCTCCTCTCCCATCACTCCCCAAACGGGGCCCCTCTGTCTAGCCAGGCTGGTCTGATTGTCCCAGACACTCTCAGTGCCAACTCGTTGCTGATGCTGTTCACAGCTCCCCACAGGAAATGCCTTCTGACCACCACTGTGAATTCTACTTCTCTAAAATTCTGCTCAATCTCACCCTCCTCCGTGAACCCCCTTCTCATCTAGAGAGTGGTAACAGCAATGCCTGCTTCACAGATTCAATGGGGATCATCAAGTTCAGATGCACAAGGTACTTTGCACAGTACGTGGCACTTAGTAATCGCTCAGTGCTAACTGCTATTGACATCATTCTGCTTTTATTCTCTAACCATAGTATCTATTATGATTCTCTCACTACTCCATTCCCTACACATTTCTCCACTTCCAAGTCAGTCTCAGAGCATGGACCAGCTTGTAGTCCACTGGGTGCTGCCTGCCACTGTTACTGAGCTGTTTGACACCTACGTGTTGCACCTTGGAGAAGTCAGCGTTCTCCTGAAGACCGGATCCTACTCTGTGCCTCTCACTTCCTGACACAGCGCCAGTCAGAGCAGGTGCTCAAAGGACACTTATTAATTTTAGAGAATGAGTGAAGAAAACAAGACTGAATAAATGCTTTTAGGAAACCAGATTTTGCATATTTTATATGAAGAAAACACTAAATGGTAAATAAGACAAATTCCTAATGGTAGAAGGAGATGGCATGTAAATAGCAACATAAGCAGAGAACATTGCAATTTATTCTCGTGCAGCATCTTTTATTCAAAATATTACCAGACATTTGCTGAAAAGAGTCTGTTGTACCAAGGGCAGATGACTCACTGCAATATTTTAGTCACATTTGATGATGGACGTGAGACTCTCCCGAGATGTCTTTTTACCAGGCTGAGACCCAGCAAATGATCAGTAGACAAGAAACCAGTGGTGCGGGAAATTCACAGTAGAAAACAAGCCTCAGAGTTTAACCAGACAACATGATCAATGCGGAACCGAGGAGAGCCTCTTGTAGCTCAATGTCCCAGCGACGTGAAGCACTGATGACCTGGGATTCCAGGAAGCGGGCTCAGCGAGGCTCGTTCAGTCTCCCAGGGCTTGCTGGATGACTGCCTTATTTCTGGGGCACCAGAGGATTGGAATTGATTTAAGTTGTGCTGCTATTGTTCTGCAAGGAACCTGAGGGGCAAATTCATTCTGGATAAATCCCCACACAGGCAGCATCTACACGTCACTAACAAAAGACGTATTTAGTGTGTTCACCTGGGAAACGATTAAAGTTTGAAATATTTGTATTCGTCTTGTAAAAGACTGGTCTCGTTATTCAGTTCTGAATTCCCTACCACTGATTGCAAGAAAGCAGTAATAAGAGATTAGTTTTCTAACCGCCAATGCCCCTCCCCTTTCCCACTTCTCCAGAAATATTATTCAACTAAACTACCATCAGCAGGAAAATAGAGAAGAGAAGGAACCTTCTGGAATATTTTTATTCAGCAGAGTGAGATTTATGCATGAGATGCAAATTACTATGCATTATTTACCCATCCGAGGAGAAACAAATCTTGAATGTAAATGTTTAGAGGGCATATTATTTTTAAATATGAAAGTAGTAAAAATTATTAGAGCATTTGCAACTCCCACTCTGTTAAAGAGACATTTAAATGAGTTTTTAAAAGAACTTTTATCAGAATTACAGAAACTATACTAAACAAAGCATCAGAAAAATAAAAAGCATAAAATCTCTAGCTGTTTCTGCTTCTACGAATCCTTTCATTAGCTGCGTTTTCAAGTAACTGTAGGATCAGTCCTCTCCCTATAAACACTTTATTATTGATTAAACATCAAACATGCAACATTCACCCATTTATTTTCAAGCCCTCCATTATTTCTGTTAGAATTCAAACAATTGGGCATTTTATTATTTAACTACCTTGGTCTGATTTTTTTTTTTTTTTTTTTTTTTGAGATGGAGTCTCACTGTCTCGCCCAGGCTGGAATGCAGTGGTGCGGTCTCGGCTCACTGCAAGCTCTGCCTCCCGGGTTCACGCCATTCTCCTGCCTCAGCCTCCCGAGTAGCTGGGACTACAGGTGCCCGTCACCACACCCGGCTAATTTTTTGTATTTTTAGTAGAGACGGGGTTTCACCATATTAGCCAGGATGTTCTCGATCTCCTGTTGGTCTGATCTTTTTTATAGAGTTAATTTTTTAATTAAAAAGTGAAACAAGTTGAGAAAATGGAGATCTACAGGCCTAATTCTCTGAATCATTAGTAGTTTATTTGGGAAATTATGCTAAAAAACAAACTATGTGTGGGGCAAAGCAGAATTTATCCACAGACAATAGGATAATGGCTAATCCACAGATAGCACCTCTGTGCCAATCTCTAAATGTTTTACATATATTATTTCATTTCATTCTCACATCAGTAGGTACCATTATTCTAGTTGCTGCACAGATGAGGAAACTGAAAGTCTGGAAATTAGTAGGATTTCCAAGATTGCACAGCTGGTTAGTGGCGGAACCAGGGTCTGGTATAAACGCTACGCTATGCTAAGGAGAGCACCTGCAGCTGAGATTTAAAGAATATATCCAAAAGCCTCTCACGGCACCAGGGAAAGATCCACCGGTGCATTCTTACGAATTACTCCTGAAGCACAAATGGCAGGCACCATGTTGGGCACGTTAGGCATTTCTACCTCATTAAATCTTCCCAGCTGCCCGGTGAAGTCAAGCTGATTTAGAAGGTGAGAATCTTGGACCTGTTCAAGGTCACAGAGTTCGAAATTCGTGGAGCAATCTTCTCACACCAAGCCCACGTTTTTAACTGTGGTTCCTTCCCAAAATCTTTTCTTTTCAATCAAAACAAAGAGTCCTAATTTATTGATGAGTGAACAATTAGCAGAAGAGGGATGAACTCACATCCACAAAAAACAGCAGTGTGAATAAAGCCTGCCTTACTCATATAGGCACCTCTCTTTTCCAAAGACAGGCTTTTTGTTGCTCCTATTTAAACAGCGGTATTGAGGTATTGAGTTTATTGATAAACAATAAACTATATCCACGTCAAGTTTCTGCTTTGAGAAGTTTTGACTTATGTATACTCCCAGGAAATCATCACTGTCACCAAGACAGTGGATGGATCTGCCAGCTAGGCAGGCTTCGAGGATGTGTGACCTGAGCACCTGCCCAGGAGCCCACATGCAGACGGGCACCATGCTTGAGTGAAGGCTCTGCGCTAGCATCTTGGAATTCTCAATAATTTTCTAATAACAGGACTTGCATTCTCATTCTGTGCTGGGTCCCACAAATTGTGCAGCCAGCTCTGCCATTACCCCCAAATGTGGCTTCATGTGCTCCTTTTTTATTGTGGCAAAATCTACATACCACACAATTTACCATTTTCGCCATTTTGGGGATATGCAGTTCAGCGGCGTTCAGTGCATTCACGTTGTCGAGCAGCCATCACCACCATCCACCACAGGACTTTATCTTCCCAAACTGAAACTTTGTCCCCATTAAACGAAACCCCATTCCCCTCTCCCACAGCCCCTAGTAACTACCATTCTATTCTCTGACTCTATGAATTTGACTCCTCTGGATGCCTCACAGAAGTGGAATCATACTGCTATGATCTGAATGCTTGTGTCCCCCAAAAAATTAATATGTAGAAACCCAATCCCCAGTGTGAAAGTATTAAAGATGGGGCTATTGGGAAGTACTGAGGTCATGAGGACTGCACCCACATGAACGCACTTAGTGCCCTGATAAAAGAGGCATGAGGGAGGTTATCCCCCTCTTTCACCATGCGGGGATGCAGCAAGAAGGCATCATCTTTGGGGCCAGCTCACACCTGTAATCCCAGCACTCTGGGAGGCTAAGGTGAGTGGATGGCTTGAGCTCAGGAGTTTGAGGTCAGCCTGAGCAATATGGCGAGACTCCGTCTCTACAAAAATTAGCCGGGCATTGTGGCACCTGCCTGTGGTCCCAGCTACTTGGGAGGCTGAGATGGGAGGATTGCTCAAGCCCAGGAGGTCAAGGCTGCAAGTGAGCTGTGTTCATGCCACTGCACTCCAGCCTGGGTGACAGAGCGAGACTCTGTCTCACCCCTTGCAAGAAAAAAAAAAAAAAGGGAAAAAAAAGGCACCATCGTTAAAAAGACAGAGCCTGCCTGAACCAGACACTGAATCTACTCACACTTTGATCTTGGACCTCCCAGCTTCCAGAACTGTGTGCAATAAGTTCCTGTTGTTTACAAATTGCCCAGTGTAAGGCATTTTGTTATAGCAGCCTAAACCGACTAAGGCACGTGCAATATTTGTCTCTTTGTAACTGCCTTCTTTTACTTAGCATAATGTCTTCAAGTTTCATCCAGGTTGTCACGTGGGTCAGAATGTCCTTCCTTTTTAAGGCTGAACAACATCCACTGTCTGTATGTACCACATCTTGTTTATTCATTCATCATGGATGGGACATCGCCTTTTACAATCTCTTCCTCTTACTCCTCCTTCTCCCCTTCCTATTCCCACTCCTGTCTCCAAGCAACTGAACTGCTTTCTTTCACAATAGATTAGTTTGCATTTTCTAGAATGTTATATAAATGGAATCATGTTTTTCTTTGGTTGACTTCTGCTCAGAATAATTACATGACCCCGGGATTACAGGGGGTGGCTGACGCCTGTAATCCCAACACCTTGGGAGGCCAAGGCGGGTGGATCACTTGAGGTCAGGAGTTCAAGACCAGCCTGGCCAACATAGTGGAACCTCATCTCCACTAAAACACAAAAGTTAGCCAGGCATGGTGGAGGGCACCTGTAATCTCAGCTACTCAGGAGGCTGAGGCACGAGAATTGTTTAAACCTGGCAGGGGTGGAGGTTGCAGTGAGCCAAGATCACACCACTGCACTACAGCCTGGGTGACAAAGTAAAACTCTGTCTCAAAAAAAAAAAAAAAAAAAAAAAAAGAATAATTATTTGAAATCCATGTTATAGCATGTATCATTAGTTCATTTCTTATTGCTGAAAGTATTCTATTGTAGAGATGTACCACAATTTGGTTTCTGGTTTTGTATTATTATAAATAAACCTATGAACATTGTTATACATCTTCATACAAATATAAGCTTTTATTTCTTTTAAAGAAATACCCATAAGTCAAAGGTCTGGGTCATATAAGTATGTGTTTAACTTTTTTTTTTTTGAGACAAGAGTCTCGCTCTGTCGCCCAGGCTGGAGTACGGTGGCACGATCACAGCTCACTGCAAGCTCTGCCTCCTGGTTTCACGGCATTCTCCTGCCTCAGCCTCCCAAGTAGCTGGGACTACAGGCACCCGCCACCACTCCTGGCTAATTTTTTTTTTTTTTTTGTATTTTTTTTAGTAGAGATGGGGTTTCACTGTGTTAGCCAGGATGGTCTTGATCTCCTGACCTCGTGACCCATCCATCTCAGCCTCCCAAAGTGCTGGGATTACAGGAATGAGCCACCATGCCTGGCCGTGTGTTTAACTTTTTAAGAAACTGCAAAATTTTTTCCAATGTTGTTGCACCATTTCACATTCCCTCCAGCTGACTGGAGAGCTCTAGTTCCTCCACATACTTGCCAACACTTGATAATGTCAGTTGTTAATTTTAGCCATTTTCACTAGATGTAGAGTGAAAATGTATAGCTTATTATGGATTTAATTTTTCTCTAACCACTAATGCCACTGAGTATCTTTTATGTGCTTACTTGCTATCTCTGTATTTTCTTTGACAAAGTATCTATTCAAATATTTTTTCCATTTTTAAATTGGATTATTTGTCTTCCTATTATTGAGTTTTGGTAGTCCTTAATATATTGTAGGTATGAACCTTTTTTCAGATACAAGCCTTGCTTGGATCTGATATGGTTTCCCCTGCCCCCGTCTGTGGCCCATGCACTCATTCTCTTTATAGTGTCTTTTGAAAATCAATTGTGGGACTCATCTTAATTGTTTCTACCTCTCAGGGATCTCTGTCCTTTGCTGCCTGATGCCCAGTGATTTGAAACCTATTGTTACATATACTTTGTCTGGTTTTATTGGTTGTTTCAGACAAAAGGGTAAATTCAGTCCTTGTTACCTTATCTAAGCTGGAAGCTAAAGCTTGATAAACTTTAAAAAGCATAATGTTGAAATTACTAAAATATAAATTTATTTAAACATACTGCTATTATTTTTAATAGACTTTTGATATTCTGTATTTTTTTACTCAAAAGGTACTTGCAGAATAATTATTACCTTGTGGGACTCTGAAATATGTCTTTGGAGTTAAAAATAAAAGGAATTTTCACTTTATAAGACAAAAATATAAAAATGAATGTTATTTCTTTGAGGAACTTCCCTCACTCTGAAAAGATTGGGAAATTTGAGAACAAAAAGGATTAGTTGCCAAGATGCAAGGAACCCTGAAAGCAGCCAGACACTAAGCAGGTAATAGCTTGGTGTGAATTAGTTTATAAGAGATCTTAAGAAGTCACTTAGCAAGAAATGAATAAAAATATCTTCATATTTCAGAGGTGACAAACAGGTGACCTTAGAAAAACTCCTGTCCTCGACATCTTTTGATTGTAACCCACACAGGACTTTTAAAATTTTGAAATAGTTGTCAGTAGTTATACATTGAGAGACATCACACAAACATTCAAATTTCCCCTTTTCTTGAAAACCCAGGCAACACGGTATCCCATTCCCTTGTGGCAAGAAACCCGGCAAGAAACCCAGCAAGAAATGTTCCTCTTTGTCCCAGTTCCCGGGTCCTTCAGAGGCCAGGTGAAATTGACATGTATCTTCACATGTCCGGTAATATGTTGCTTCGATCCACCCCCGTTCCCATCACCTTGCGGGTCATTTGCATTTCAGAGCCCTGGTTTAGAGTCTGTCCTACTTATTTAACAGGCGAGAAGCAAGGAGCACTGGGTTTCATGAGGGAGTCCTGGGTTCAGAGGGAAGAGAGGAGCTCCAAATGGCAGGAAGTGCAGTGTGACCATCTCACCTAGGGCCCACCTGCACCACCAGTGTGAGGGTGTGCAGAGGAAGCTTCCCAGGAGTACATTATTAACAGAGCAGAGCCCCTGACACTTTGCAGCCAAGGTTATCTTTAGAAGCAGAAAAAAAAAATACAGATACAAGATTCTTGAAGATTTCTTCTAGGTTTGTGATTGTTTTGTAGCTGGCTTTTCTGTTGTCCTCAACTTTCTGTCTTCCTCTGTTAAGAAATGCAGTGGCTGATACTGCCCAAGGTAATTTATACATTCAATGCCACCCCCACCAAGCTACCAATGACTTTCTTCATAGAATTGGAAAAAAACTACTTTAAAGTTCATATGGAACCAAAAAAGAGCCCGCATTGCCAGGACAATCCTAAGCCAAAAGAACAAAGCTGGAGGCATCACGCTACCTGACTCCAAACTATACTACAAGGCTACAGTAACCAAAACAGCATGGTACTGGTACCAAAACAGAGATATAGACCAGTGGAACAGAACAGAGCCCTCAGAAATAATGCTGCATATCTACAACCATCTGATCTTTGACAAACCTGACAAAAACAAGAAATGGGGAAACGATTCCCTATTTAATAAATGGTGCTGGGAAAACTGGCTAGACATATGTAGAAAGCTGAAACTGGATCCCTTCCTTACACCTTATACAAAAATTAATTCAAGATGGATTAAAGACTTAAATGTTAGACCTAAAACCATAAAAACCCTAGAAGAAAACCTAGGCAATACCATTCAGGACATAGGCATGGGCAAGGACTTCATGTCTAAAACACCAAAAGCAATGGCAACAAAAGCCAAAATTGACAAATGGGATCTAATTCAACTCAAGAGCTTCTGCACAGCAAAAGAAACTATCATCAGAGTGAACAGGCAACCTACAAAATGGGAGAAAATTTCTGCAATCTACTCATCCAACAAAGGGCTAATATCCAGAATCTACAATGAACTCAGACAAATTTACAAGAAAAAAATAAACAACCCCATCAACAAGTGGGTGAAGATATGAACAGACACTTCTCAAAAGAAGACATTTATGCAGCCAAAAGACACATGAAAAAATGCTCATCATCACTGGCCATCAGAGAAATGCAAATCAAAACCACAATGAGATACCATCTCACACCAGTTAGAATGGCAATCATTAAAAAGTCAGGAAACAACAGGTGCTGGAGAGGATGTGGAGAAATAGGAACACTTTTACACTGTTGGTGGGACTGTAAACTAGTTCAACCATTGTGGAAGTCAGTGTGGCGATTCCTCAGGGATCTAGAACTAGAAATACCATTTGACCCAGCCATCCCATTACTGGGTATATACCCAAAGGATTATAAATCATGCTGCTATAAAGACACATGCACAGGTATGTTTATTGCAGCACTATTCACAATAGCAAAGACTTGGAACCAACCCAAATGTCCAACAATGATAGACTGGATTAAGAAAATGTGGCACACGTACACCATGGAATACTATGCAGTCATAAAAAATGATGAGTTCATGTCCTTTGTAGGGACATGCATGAAGCTGGAAACCATCATTCTCAGCAAACTATCACAAGAACAAAAAACCAAACACTGCATGTTCTCACTCACAGGTGGAAATTGAACAATGAGAACACATGGACACAGGAAGGGGAACATCACACACCGGGGCCTGTTGTGGGGTGGAGGGAAGGGGGAGGGATAGCATTATGAGATATACCTAATGTAAATGACGAGTTAATGGGTGCACCACACCAACATGGCACATGTATACATATGTAACAAACCTGCACATTGTGCACATGTACCCTAAAACTTAAAGTATAATAATAAAAAAAAAGAAATTACCAGCAGATCTTCAAATACAAAAAAAAAAAAAAAAGAAATGCAGGGGCTGGATCACCTCATTTGTCTCTGCAAATGGGTAAATAATCTCAGGAATTGTCTGGAAGTTAGGAAGACAGACAGATGGAGATATGATACATAGAGACATGAAATGTATCTAAGACAGAAGTGCACAAATGTATCTAAGACACAAGAATGTTTTCAATGAGAATCTTATACATTTTACTCTGCGTATCAATCTACTACCAAAAGAAAGAATGCACAGAGGTTACTGTGTCAACTTCTATTTCCTTTACTCTAAAGAACTAGCTATATCCCTTTTGGCTATTATGTTCAAGGAGGTAGTTCTGGCTCAGTTCTAGATCTTGCACGGATCCCATATCTGGGGCTCAGCTCTTAGTTTGTCCTTTGATGCTTGCCCTTGCCAGATGTTCCCTTCCCTCCATCCCTCTCCTCCAGCAGCATCCCTTGTCCAGCTTCCCACTGGCACAGATGTCTGAGGTTAACAACCTGGCGGGTGCCTTCTTCCATCCATTTTCCACCTGTCTATCATCCGTATATCTGCATAGATGATCACATATACAAATAGGGTGTTGGGCTTAGTTTCTGTAAGGGTGCTGCAACAAATTTCAACAAACTACGTAGCTTAAGAGAACAGAAATGTATTCTCACAGTGAAGAAGGCCAGAGGTCTGGAATCAAGGTTTTGGTAAGGTTGGTTCCTTCTGGGAGCTCTGAGGAAAGTTTGTTCCCATGCCTTTCTTTTAGATTCTGACATTGGCCAGCAACCCTAGGCGGTCTTTGCAGATCCGTCACTCCAACCTCTGCCTCCATCTTCATCTTCTCATGGCCTTCTTTCTCCATATATCTGTGTTCCAAGCCTCCTCCTACTTTCAGTTAAGAAGACACTAGTAATTGGATTTATGCCCCACCCAAAATTCAGGTTGACCTCATTTCGAGATCCTTACGTATATCTGCAAAGATGCCATTTCCAAATCAGGTCACATTCACAGTTACTGGGACTTGGGACTTGAACATATCTTTTGGGGACCATAATTCAACCCACTACAGTTTCCTTCAGAAAAATTATATTGTGTATTAGTAAGCTTCTCCCAGTGTTAACTTTCTCACTTAACAGTTCATAGTGTGATTCTCTCCAAGTTATTGGGTAACTGTGTAATATTCCATTGTATAAGTGTATCATATTTTATTTAACCATTTTTGTATTAATGGGTACCTACTTTGGGTTTGATATTAGTAAGTATGAATAGTACTGCAAGGAAGACTCTTATATACTTAGAGTCTGATATTTTATTTCTGTAAAATAGGTTCCTAAAATTGGCATTGCTATGTCAAGGATATAGACGAGTAGTTTAAATGTTTATAGAAGGTTCCAAATTGCTTTCCAAGAAGGATGAAACAATTCACATTTCCACTAAAAATTTGTGAGAGTGCCGTTTTCTTACATCTTGGCCAGCTTTTTTTATTTTCCACAGTGATAGGTATGTTGTGAAATCCATCACTTTGAATTTCTCTTGAGACAGAGGTTGAATATCTTTTCCATATGTTTATAGGCCATGTGGACTTGCTGATCTGTATTTATTGGTACTTTTTGCATATGTTCTCTTGGTTTGCTTACACTATTGTTATCAATGTGCAAATATACACTGTTTGTAAAGTTTAACTCTTTCTCTCCCTTTTAACTGAATCATTTAACTCCCCTGGAGTACAATGTTTTTCCTCAGTCTTTTGTCAGTTGAGTATGTGTGTGATAACTTTGCCTGATGAAAAGTATTTCATTTTAAAATGCTCTTGTTAAATTAATAATAGTATTTTTAATTAGAAATGTTTATCACTTCTTTTATGGCTCCTGGATTTACCGCCTTGCTTATAAAGACCCTGCCACCTTAAATCTATCATATCACCACTCTAATTTTGTTTTACAATAAATTTTTGCCTTTAAATAATCAATCCATTTAGTACTCTTCGTGTCATGTCAGATAGAATCCAAGCAAATTTTATTTTAGCAGAGAGCCAGTTGTACCAGCACGTTTACTACAAAGTGTATCCCTTTCTCACTGAATTTAAGTACTCCTTTGTCAAGCTTCTATTTCTAGGATTTCAATATTTTTTTCACTTAAATGTCAATCTTTCCCTATACCAGTACCATACGGTTTTGATTTCAGTGGCTCTAAAGTATGTTTCAATGTCTGGTAAGGCTAGCACGTTTCACCACACTCCTTAGTGATAATTTCATTCTTCTACTTTGAGATCATTATTTTGAGGGGAAAAAATTTTAATTGGAATTGCATAAATGAATATGTTAACTTTGACAGAACTGACATCTTTATGATATTTAATTTTATATTAAAAATAATATATCTTTCCATTTGTTGAGATCTTATTTTATATCCTTCTATAGATTTCTGGAATTTCCTCAGAAAGGTCCCATATCTTTCTGATTAAATGAATTTGAGTATATTAATTGCTGTTATTTTTTAATGGAATAATGTTTTTTCTTATTCTCATTTCTAGTTAGTTATTACTAGCAGAGAGAAAACTTGATTTCTACATATGCCATATCTAATTGCTTTACCAAATTATTTTATTAGTTATAATAGTTTCTTTTTAATTAGAGTATTTTTTGATTTTATAGATAGGTTCTTACGTCATTAGCAAAAAGGATAATTTTATCTCTTCTTTCCAAGTATTTTAATGATTATTTTCTTTTCTTACCTTTAAAAATATCAAATAATGGTAATGACAGTAAATATCCCTGTCTGGTTCCCAGTTTTAGTAGAAGTGAGTTTAGCATTTCACCATGTAGAATAACATCTGCGGTGTCTTTTGTACAAGTTATTTATTTCAAATTTAAATTATTTCCCCTTATCCTGATTTGCTTAGATATGTTATTTGGAATATCTGCTAAGTTTTATCAAATGTCTTTAACATTTATTGATACGAGCATATGTTTTCTTCTTAAATGGGACGATACACGGAATTACGTGGAGACATCCTAATAGTGAATCACTTTACAGTCCTAAAATTATGTATTTAGAAGTATGTAATGCGGGGGACTCATGGCTGGACATTAGTTGCCAATTCTTAATTTAGACTTTTACATCTATAGTTAAAACAGGAATGGTTCCACGGTCTGGGCGTTGACACTCTTTACCAACCCTTGGCATCTAAGTCTCGTCTCGGTGAGTTCCCGAGCTGCTGGCGTTGGCCTCGTGGTCTCTGCTCGGGTCCTGCTGCCCCGGGACGGCCTGTGCGGCGGCTGCCAGAGGGGCTGCCCTTCCCCTGCGCCTTCGGACACCAGCGCCGCTGCGCAGGCTTCAGCCCTGCAGCCTCTGCCGTGCTGTGCTGCCACGTGCGGACAAGGCCCTGGGCTCCGATGGCATCACGATTGTGAATGTGCTGGGAAGACAAGCGGCTTCAAAACCATGTCGCTGAAATACACACCAAGGACAACCGAACAGAACCCAATCCGGAAGAGAAGGACAAATACTGCGAACATGCAATGTGCTGTCTAAACAAACTCCAGGGAGCGCTAGAAATTCGTTTATGGACTCGTGAACGCAACGCTTCCCATTTTATAGATTAAAAGGAAAAAAGAAAGACGTTTGGAGTTCTCGAAGCTCACTGTGTTCCACTGCGTCTGGTGGCGGCGGTGAGAACCTAATGGCATCGCTGTGAGCGGAGCTCTCCATCGGGTCTTCCTCAGCACGCCCTCAGATCCCTCTCCCAGCTGGTAAGAAGCAGTTCAGCTATCACCAAAATTCCAAAATACCTTCCGAACCCAGGAGCTGGGGACAGGCTGACCACACCCAAGCCCACAGAGACTGGCCCAGCGCCCCCTTCCAGGCGGCCGGCCGCCGGTGATCAGCCTGGACCCCGGTGCACGGGCCGCTTGCTTTGTTGAACGGCCCGGGGTGACGTGGCTGCGGTGCAAGCATGCCAGGTCCGCTCTCTCTGAAAAGGAGCTTTCTCCCCGGCACTGGAATGTGGAAGACAAACATCGTCCACCTTTCCCAGCTAATGAGGATTCCCGGAATGTGTCAGCTATGGCAACTCACTGCCAGCCACTATGTTTGGGGAAGCCCCCGACAATTACATGAATTCTAAGATCATCTAGAAGACAGAATGATGACAGTGCCTTCGAAGACAGCAAGAGAATCACGGCATAAAACGAGGCCCGGTAAACGGATGTGGCATTTTGTCTTTCAAACTCTAAGAAAATTACTGATGAAGATCTAGCTACATAAAATTGTAATTGGTTAAAGTGACAAAAAGTAGTCCACAGATTACAATGTCTTTTTGTCAGACTGGTTGTTTCAACATCATAAAACTCCTTTGAAGGTGAGCCTGCCGCGATGTATGGAAATAAATCGCCACGGGGCCCCCAAGTGGGTCTGGTTAAAGCGGCCTCTAGAAACAAGAACGCCTTCCCCATGTGGCCCTCGGTGCTCTGCAGAACTCCGACCCTCCCTCATAATTTACTCCTTCCTGGTGACTAAAAAGAAGCAAATGTGCAACGCACTCCAGTCGGCCGTATCTCAGGTGTGTTCCTTCAGGACACGGCATGAGACCCGCATTACTCAGAGGCGTTACTGCCCTGCTATGCCTTGGGCCCCAGGGGACCTGAGACTGGCTGGGGCACACCTGGGCATCAGGAGGGGAGGATGTGGCAGGGTGCCTGTGCACTCCTCTTCCCCAGGTATTCCAGTGTCCCCACCAGCTGGGTGGTGGCAAGTGCTCACAATTGCTTAGTCCTCAAGTGATAGCCAGTAACAGGCACATTACTAGAGCATCCAGACAATGGAATTGTGTGCAGCATCTTCTCAGAAATGGGCTGAACTATGCTCTGAGAAATAAAATAAGCCCACACCTTATGGAGCCAGGATTATGTTTCCAGTCAGGCGTGTAGGGGCCAGGGGGAGGGTGTCTGGAAGGTGCTCTGATGCTGCTGCAAGGTGTAGGACTTCCACCTCGACAGGTCCCGCTGGAAACTGAGTTCCAAATTACCTTACATACTTCCCCACAACAGAGGCTGTGAAATAAACATCCTTTCTAAATGGAGTATAGCTCCATACTGTTTAAACACAGAGAAAGCTAGTTTGCTTTAGTATTTTTTAATTAAAAATAACATTCATTATTTTTTCATTACTATAGCAATGCATGTTTGAGAAAATAAAGACAAGCAATTTTTTTCAAAAAAAAAAGTAAAAGGCTTCTATTACCTCACTGCATGGAGACAGCTACTGTGAAGGTTTTGTGTGCCTTTATTTCCAGACCCCTCTCTGCACCTACATAAATTATTCGATTTTTTTTTTACAAAATTAACTCAGATTGCCACATACTTTTGTAACTCTCTTTCTTCATTTAATAATATATCCCAAATCAATTTTCATGTCATAAAAAATTCTTCAAGAATATCATTTTAACAATTTATTTTGCTATTATTTAATGACAATTAGTTCATTTCATTCTTTTCCTATTACAATCTTGAGTTTAGGTTTTAATTTCAATAAGCTGCTGGTTATTTTCATAAGTGCCTTTTGGGGTTCCGTTTGTTCAGTGTATTTATTGGGAACTAGCAGGAATGAGGCTCTAGGGTTATGAAGATGAACAAGGCAGATACAGCCCCACCCTCGTGCAATGCAGTCTGAAGAAAGAGGCGCAGGTGAGACAAACATTTAAAAAGTTAACCCCAGGCCAGGCATGGTGGCTCATGCCTGTAATTCCAGCACCTTGGCCAAGGCTTGTGGATCACTTGAGGTCACGAGTTCGAGACCAGCCTGGCCAACATGGTGAAACACTGTCTCTACTAAAAATACAAAAATTAGCTCGGCATGGTGGCGGGTGCCTGTAATTCCAGCTACTCAGGAGGCTGAGGCAGGACAGTTGCTTAAGCCTGGGAAGCGGAGATTGCAGTGAGCTGAGATCACGCCACTGCACTCCAGCCTGAGGGACAGAGTGAGAGACCCTGTCTCAAAAGAAAAAAAAAAAAGTTAACCCCAAACTAAAGACAAAAGTATAAATGTTCATCATTGTCTTAGAGGAAAAGAAGAGCAGGCATTAGGTGAGAATCATGATATTTGACCTGAGGCCGCAAGAAAGCAAGGGAGCAAATGAGGAGGGCAGAACGCCTGTGCAGAAGCAGGTACTAGAAGGCAGGAAGATGGCAAGGAGAGAAGAGCCCAAGGCCAGGGGTCCCGAGGCACAGGAGAGATGAGAGTCAGGGGGTGCAGACAGGTCTGCAGGGATCTTCTGGGTGCAGCGGGAAGCCCCCAAATGGCTTCACATGAGAGAGCAGCCACCTGACTTGGGGCTGGAAAGATTTCTTTGGTGCCCATGTTGGGGGTGGGGGTGAAGGAGCCAAAATACGCTCTTCTGGCACTTTGACTACCGAAGTTAAGGGCACTCAAAATGCAGTAGATGCAAAAAAGATTACTTTGACCTTCATGCTGTTTCTTAAAAGCAGAAGATGCAATTCCCAAGTGAAAGGAGCCCTCCCTGTGCTAGAAAGAGGCAACAGCCTTATCCTCAAGGACAAGAAGTCATAACTGAGAGGGCCTTGTTAGCATCATTCTTATCTGTTAAGCCTCCCTGCACAATAGTTGCTTTCTTAAAAGTTACTACTCTTTGTTCAATTCAGTATAAAAGTAATGACTCTAACTACTTTTTGGGTCTTCTTTTTTTTTTTTCTTTTTTGAGACAGTCTGGCTTTGTCACCCAGGCTGGAGTGCAGAGGCATCATGATCTCAGCTCACTGCAGCCTCAACCTCCCAGGCTCAGGAGACCCTCCCACCTCAGCTTCCCAAGTAGCTGGGACTACAGGCACAAACCACCATGCCGCGGTAATTTTTTTTGTATTTTTAGCAGAGACAGGGTTTCACCATGTTGGCCAGGCTGGTCTCAAACTCCTGACCTCAAATGATCCGCCTGCCTCCACCTCCCAAATTGCTGGGATTACAGGTGTGAAACACTGCGTCCAAACTTGCATTAGGCTTTTCTCCTGTTAAAGCATCTTATGTCAACGTTATTCTCGGACTCAGCCATGATCCTAAGAGAATGGAGGTGAAGCTTTTCCATTTCTACAAAGGCAAGGGCAACACACGGAAGAATTATAGAGGTAGCTACCATCATCTACAGAAGGGCAGTATTATGATCTTTGCAAAACATCCAGATAATACTAAAAAATTTTTTAAAAATATCTATGCTTCTATTATGTGAAGACAATCTCTGGTGTGTGGTTTTGTTTGTTTGTTTGTTTTTATTTTTTTTTTTTTGAGTCAGAGTCTTGCTCGCTGCAGTGCAGTAGCATGATCTCAGCTCACTGCAACCTTCACCTCCCTGGTTCAAGCAGTTTCCCTGCCTCAGCCTCCCGAGTAGCTGGGATTACAGGCGCATACCACCACGCCCCGCTAATTTTTTTGTATTTTTAGTAGAGATGGGATTTCACCATCTTAGCCAGACTGGTCTTGAACTCCTGACCTCAGGCAATCCACCCGCCTCGGCCTCCCAAAGTGCTGGGATTACAGACATGAGCCACTGTGCCCGGCCAACAGTCTCTGTTTTTATAGCTGTCTAGAGTTTGTTAGTGCCTATGTCTACACAGAAATATAAGGAGCTTGTTATTTTTATAATACAGTGAGATCATATATATTACCGCGTACCCTGTTTTCTCCTGACTGCGTCATTAGGATTTTCCATAGGGATAAATTTAAAAGTAGTAAACTTAGAAATTTTCACATTGATAACTTTAATAATTTAATGCATGCTAATAAAAATATGGATATAAAAGTTTACTGAGGCAGCCCACAGTGATTAGTGGTTAATTCTTTTTTCACATAAACAACATAGCAACGTACACAGAATACAGACTGTGCGTACATCTTATCACAGTTCAAGGAATTAGTACCGAGTTAGCACCCCTGTGTAAGCGCTACTGTACTTAGATCAGGAAATCGAAAGTTCCCAGTTTCCAGATATTCCTTTAGCCCTTTCTCCATCAATATCTCCTCTCACCCCTCCAAAGATAACTACTCTCCTGATGTCCAATACTTTAAATTAATTTTGACTGTTTTTGAATTTTATGAAATTATTCAGTCATTTTTATTATGGAACATGCATTCTTTTGCTGGGCTTCTCTCACCAAATTTTAGGATTTTGAGATTTTCTATGTTATTGCATGTGCCTATAATATATGTTTATTGCAATATAGATTCTATTGACAGATAAATCTTTTCACATATCAATGATTATTTGCTCAGCACAAATTTGAAGAAGTAGAATTGATAGGCCAAATAGAGAAACATTTGATAGATATATGTAGTTACTCTCCCAAAAGGATACACTAATTTACTCTTCCACTAATGGTGCAGGAGTGTGTCTAATACTCACCCACGGCCTGCAGTGAGTATGAACTTTATTTTTGCACCTGTGCCAATCTGAGAGACAACTAAAACATTTATTGTTTTATAACTCCTCTTAGAACATTTTGTTAGTAATTTGCACAAATGCATAAAACATTTATAAATCTTTTACAGCCTTTTCTCCTTAACAATATATTAACATTTTTCTTTGTCTCTAAATCCACAACTGTGTCACCATTTTAAATTAATGCATCATAATCTATAATATGGATATGCCAAAATTTACTTTCTGAGAGGTCACTGTATAAAAGACATTGCTTTTTTTTAGTGAACTCACTGTCATAATTTCCCTTAATCCTCAAGAAAATCCCATGAACTGTGGTCTCTGAATATATGCATTTTAACAACAAGGAAATTGAGGCACAGAAAGATTGGAGAATAACTCGCCTAAGATTAAACAGCTAGTGAGATTTGGAAACAAAATTTGAACCTAGTCAGGTCTGGTTTTAACAGCGATAATTTTAATACCCTCAAAACACTCACTCTCTTCACTAATTAATTATCATACTTTTCTCTCCTTCAAAACAAAAGATGTGGTTTATTCCCACTGCATTTTCATAGCCTCTTGTAGATTGTAATTGCCCGATAAATGCAGCTTCCTTTATACTTCATTTCACTAATAAAATGCAACAAATGAGTGGAAACAAAAGTGAATCACTGTTGGATTTGAAAACGTAGTGTTTTTGTTTCTTACAAAATGATAACTGTGGTTTTCTACTGGCAGATACATGAAATCACTGTTATTTTATGTCTTAAGTTTTATACTATGAATTTTTATTGGTCCAAAGAACAGAAATTCTAATATACTTCTAGATTTTAGTTTCTACATAGGACAAACTTCTTAAACTCAGCTGAGGAGAGTCATTTATTTCATTAGTGAGTGGTGGCTTTGGTTTTGTGGCTGCCCCCACCCCAAAATACTTGTTATGGAGTTACCAGGGCCACCCGGTAAAGTGGAAGAGTTTATGCATTGTCCAGATAATTTCAGAATAATTCTTGACAGTTTCTCCAGAATTAGCAGATAACTGGCTTACTCCTCATTACATTTGTAGCTCTGGAAATTGACATAGGATAAAAGGTAATAGAAGAGATTATTGTATTAGGGTTATTAAAAATTCCAGATACACGAAAAAGTGTACGTAAAAACCACCCACACAATTCAACTGTTAACTGTGGGTTAAAAACAGTGTGTTCAGCCAACCTCTTTCAACACAGTAGTCACCTAAATTGCTGTTTTTAAAAGCTAGTGCCTGTCCCTGCGAAGCCCAATAGCCGTCACATGATTAATGTGCTAGTGTCTTATTAACTGCTCTGTTCCAGAAGCTGACCAATTCACAGCCACCCTTTCTGCAGAGACCTTTTTGTAAAAACCTAGTTGAAATCATGGTGTTCTGACTGCAGGCTACTGCATCCCCCACCAAAACATCATAAAGAGCAAAGAATTACTGTTTCCAGTAATCCAGGCCATAAATCAACCTGCTGTGAGCACAGGAAAAAAAAAAAAATCACGAGCACTTCCTGCATTCATATTCCAAAGCCTAGCGGTATCCCAGCAGGTTCTGGAACACGCCATGCCCCGTGTGTGTGGTGTTTGTATGTGTGTGCTTGTAAGCAGACGTGGCAGGAAGGGGGAGGCTCAGGGAGAGGGGAGGGCAAAAGAAATCCCAGCACCCGTTAACATAATTCCAAATGCTTTGATCTTATCACGACCTTCCTTGCTGTAACAATATTTTAAGATTGTTAAAAATTGCCACCTTATCTGTCTGGGGGTATCACCCACTGCTTAACTTATCTGGGCCCAGTTGTTTGAGAGAAATGCAGTATGGCATGACCTTGGTTTCTTAGCACCTGACTTTGAATATCTAATCAGTTGTGTGTCTCGGTGAAGCCATCCAGACATGTCACACAGGCGCCTCTGGCACCCAGCAATTCTAATGATGTTTACTTCATTCACCCCTTTTACGAGAGCTTCCAGCAGCAGCACTCAACCACCCCACCCTTCCAATCTGGGCTCCAGGGTCCTTCCAGGCCTAGAGCGTATTTTTAAATCTTGGATGCCCTTTCCATTGAAAATAATTTGGATGCCTTGAGGTCAGTCGCAAAAAGTTTTCTGAGATCATATAGAGACTTCTGAAGAGAAGCCTCAATTTGGATCAAGAAAAACATTAAACCTCATGGCTGTTGTAGTTTTCACAAAACACAAACCCTTCCCCTCCAGCAACGTCAAGTCTTAAGGTCATACAATACAATGTGGAGAACACACATGCACAGCTTCGTTAATTTTAAAAAGGTTTCTTAGAAAGGTCCCAAATATTTAATGGCCCCAGATCGAAGTAAAGTCTTAAAATCTAGAAATGAGAGAAACAGATGTCAGAATTATTAGAGTACCATATAATAAAAGTGACATAAAAGGAGTTGATTTTCTCTCTCTCAGTGACTTAGGAATCAAATTTCCTTCGTTGAGAAAGCAATAGAGTTTCCTGCCAGCCTGGCGGGCTCAACCTGGAACCTGGAAATCAAGCTGTTTTCTTTCTGGTTCTGACGCTGTCACCAGGAATAAATGTTCTACCATCGCGATGCTGCTGACTCCCAAATCTCAACCCAGGGCAGGAGGGCACCCTGGTTACTCTCTTTTCTCGTCACTATTATTATAGCATTCATTGACATGACCTGCTACAAACTGTAGTGAACTCTTTTGGACTAATTCTGGAGAATGATTTTCTGCAAAATAAGCAGTGATATTCTTCTACACTTAAGAGACCAACCAAGACCCTGTGTGCCTTTCTTGCCTCCTGATCCCCTAATAAAGCTGGGGTGGTGGGGAGGGGCCACACTGGTATCTAGGCCCCAGATGCTCTTACTGCAAAAGAACAATCCCGGTTGAGGGGGCTGTGAGGACATCCCTGAAACTTATTTTAATTGACCTGCTTGTCCCTCCCCAGATCACACAGCCTGTCCAGATGTCCGAGGTAGGGTATCCATGAGACGAGGCAGGTCTGTGCTGGGGGCACCTGCAGTGCTTCATTGGTACGAGGAAGGCGTGGGCTTCCTGGGAGAGAGTCTCCTAACCCCTGCCCTGGTGAGATGGGGCTTCACCCACGGGGAGACTCGAGGTCCCTGCAGCCAAGCCCAGCAGGAAAGAGCGTCCCCAGCACGTGAGGAAGACTGTGGCACCCAGGGGAGCTCAGTGACAGCCCCGGCGCCCACAGGTGGCTTAGTCCATCCCTGTCTGTGCTCCATCTGCTGTGCAGGCAGCTCTGAAACCCTTCAGCAACTTCTCATTGGCTCCCAGCTGGGTGCCCCTGCGTGGTTCACAACCAGGCTCCACCGAACTGGCCTTCAAAGCACACTAAACATCCACCTGCAGGAGCAGCTTTGGAAAATTATTATTTTAATTGACAAATAATAATTACACGTATTCACAGGGTTCAATGTGATGTTTTGGTCTAGTATACAATGTCGAGTGATTAAATCAAACTTATTAACATATCCACCACCCCTCTTATTGTCCATGGTGGGACACGTGAAATGTACTCCCTTAGCAATTTAGAAACATGCAACGGTCATTATTAACGATGGTCAGGAGGTCAGCCACGGATCTCAAGAGCTCTGAGCCTGAGAATCCGCCTCTGGGGGAGGGGGGCCTGACGAGAGAGGCTTACACTGAAGAGCATCTTGGCTTTGCGGAGGCTTCCTAGAGTTTCTTAAACATTGAGGGAGCCCTTGCCATTCTTCCAAGTCAAACCCTTGCACTTGGAATCCAGGTTTGTGTCTCTCTCCAACAAGAGGCCTGTGACGCTCGCCCTGCTTGTTCTGTTGAATGTTACTTTGCGAGCGCGTTTACACAACTGTCACTTGAGGTTTGTTTTTAGCTGGAATTGTCCTCTCTCCTGAATTCCTCTCACATCGCTCCCCCACTTATCTCCCGGTAAACTAAAGCCACCCCTGAATGAAGAGACAGAGCCCGAGCTGGGTGGGAAGACGGTTCACATGCTGACATTTTAGTCACTGAAGAATTTGTAATAGGTTTAGAGGCTGGTCTTCAAAAATCCTCACATGTACAACAAGGCCCCAGATTTGAGGAGGAAAATAACTCTGCAGCCCCGAGTCAGCCGTTCCCCAGCCACCTCTCCCCTCAGAGTCCCACTCTGGGGCAAGTGCTTCTGGTAGGTGTGTGGCTGTGAGGGCCCGGTATGGAGCTCCAGGCTAAATAAAGCTGCAGGAACAGAGATAAACAAGTGCTCCCAACTCAAATGCCTGCACACAATATCCTTTATCTGGGCAGAGATAGCACACCCAGGAGAGTGGCCAAGCGCCCCCCATAGACGGACCCACAGGCGCCCCCCCCCCCCAATTAATACAGAATTAATTGGGACATATTGTTAAAGGGCTAAGGCCCCTCAGAATAGATGCCAAACTCCAAGGACACCAATGTCAAATTCCAGAAGGACAGCGGCATGGGCCAATGGGAATAAACCCCAGCCGTTCCTCCCACGGGCGCTGAATCGGATCCCATAGAGCCCGCCTGCTTCACATGCTAACGTGATGATGAACGTATCCAAGTATCAGCATCAAATCCTTGAGGACTATATTTGCAATGTCATGTAAACCGTTTCAGGGAGCAAACTGTCCTGCTGTGACTTTATATTAATCTCTGGCTTCTGGCTGGTCACAGGGTGTCACATGTACTATAATTAGATTTTGGAAGTGTGTACAGGGAGGAGGAAATGGTGTAATTAAGGTAACCTATCAGATGCCCAACTGCATCCTTCAGAAAGGAGGCTGAAACGCCCGCCCTCCCAGCTTTCACACTGCCCTTCAAGGGCAGAGGCACCAGGTGCAGGAATTGCAGGCACTCCAGAGCCACCACCGCAGAGCTCCTCTTTAAAGAAACCTATTCTCCACACCAGAATCAATCCGGTGAGGTTGTTAGCTCGTGGTGCATATCCGGACAACTTAAGAGGAAAGCCGGGCAGGGCACTTAGAAACTTTGACTTTGCATTTGGGCTACAAAGTCCCATCTTCAGGATGGGGGACTATAAGGGAGTTTATGGGGATGCGGGGATCTCACTTAAATAGTCAATCCAACAAGTGGCACGGGGGCTCTAGAAGCTGATTTGGCCAAGGTGAGCTACAGCGAAGCAACACCCTGCACCTTTCTGCATCTTCCACTCAAGGATTGGCGCTTCACACCAGGCAGCTAGCTCCTAACACCCACCTCTAAGAGCAAGAAGAGAAGGAACTGAGTCTGGCAACAGAAAGTCTAACCCAAGCTGTCCAAGTCCAACCCCCGGGTATTGAGCTCTGCCCACCTAGGACTTGAGTGATCAGGCCTCAGTGGTCAAAGGAAGCATGTGGGTTCGAATCCCAGTTCCTCCTCACCTGGGCTGGGTTACTTCAGTCAAGTTACTCAACCTCCCTGTTGTAGGCCACCCGCCCTGCCTCCCTTTCTTCACCTCCCTGACTACCTCCCCTTCCCACTGCCTCTGGTGTTGGCTAGAGGATCACTTTGGCCACTGGGATGATGAGGAGTGACATGGCTGAGATCTGGGGAGTACCTGCTCACCGCCATGTGCTCCCCTGGTAACCCTCTCACCATATTTGGAGGAGCCAAGGCCACCAGGCTGGAGGAAGCAGGAAAAGGCCCAGTGGCCCTGTCATCCACCGAGCTCTACACCCCCGCAGGAGCCATTCTGGCCTGACCCTGAAGCCTGAATCAGCCCAGCCTCACCCCAGAGTGCCGCCCAGGGGACCACAGCCTCTAGGGCAAAATCAACAGTGGTTGTTTGAAGCCACTGAATTTTGGGAAGGTGGTTATACAGCAATTGAAGACTGACATAGTTCCTAAGCCTCCATTTCCTCATTTCCAGAATGAGGACAATGAAAGTCATTCCCTGAAGGGCAGTCGCCAGGACAAGGGAGGTGGCACCCCAGCCCTGAGCCTGGGCAAACCCCAGCCCCTGCCAGCCCCATCACAGAGGTGCACTGTCTCCAGCACAGTTTAAAAATGCAGCTGTCAGGCTGGGCGCAGTGGCTCATGCCTGTAATCCCAGCACTCTGGGAGGCCAAGACGGGTGGATCACAAGGTTAGGAGTTCCAGACCAGCCTGACCAACATAGTGAAACCCCGTCTCTACTAAAAATACAAAAATTAGCTGGGTGTGGTGGCACGTGCCTTTAATCCCAGATACTTCGGAGGCTGAGGCAGGAGAATCGCTTGAACGAGGGAGGCAGAGTTTGCAGTGAGCCAAGATCGTGCCACTGCACTCCAGCCTGGGCAACAAGAGGGAAACTCCAACTTAAAAAAAAAAAAAAAATGCAGGTGTCACAGAAGCTTTTCCAAATTTCTAAGTTTTAAAAACAACAGTTGGGCATGTAAGAAATACAAGCTCTACCTTTTTTTTTTTTTTTAATGTCAGAGCAAATAAAAGAATGGCAGTGAGAACTCCTTGCATCATTTCTCCCACCTTTTCATCCCCAGTGACAGTGAAATGATAGAGCAGCACTCACGGCACATCCTTTGGGCAGGTTTTGTAGCCCCCAAAGCTGAAAACGGAGGGTGAGAGAGTCCCAGGTTACTGGCTGGTGCCAGGTGCCCCAGAAGCTTATGTATCCTCCTCACACCCCACCACCCCCAAGAATGAGGCCACAGCAGCTCCCAGCCCTGCACACGTTGGAGACACCAAAAGTTTCTTCTCCCTCCTGGTCTTCAGACAAAGCCTGCACGGAGTGGGAAAGGAGATGACAGGGATCACCAACAGAAAATGCCTCAGGGCTAATTAATGAGCACCACGGAAGGGGCACCAGAAGGCATTTGCCATATTTAGTCTCCAAAAATCAAGGAAAAGGAGAAAGTTGCTTTCTGAAAAAGTACCGTGGTTTAGTGGTTCATTTCTGCACTGCATAAGCTCATGGAGCTCCTGGGCACGTGAGAATAAAGCCCTCCTTACTTTATTCTGTCAATAAGAGCTAAATTACACACAAGTGTGTAAGGAGTGGAACGTAGAAGAGAGGGAGGACGAGGAACGGGCATGGCTGAGGGGCCCGCCGTGCACCCAGCACACCCCAGGTGGCCCCACAAGGTGCTATGACCCTCTCAGCCCAGGAGCGGAGAGGAGCCGGGTTGGAACCCAGCCTTCCTGACTCCAGCGTCAGGATTCTTCCTGCTCCTCCATGCCAGCCAGGGAAAGGCAGCTCAGAGTGTCCTGATTCAGGGCTGGGAGAAACGCAGCGCACCCAGGAGCATGTCCCGGGGCCAAGGCTCCAATCCTTGCAGAGACAAAGAATCTGGATTAAATACAAATGACCCAGTTCAATCAATCCCTGGCATTCACTGAGAATTCAGGAAACAAATCTAAAACAGAACAACAAAGAACTGATATAATTGCCACGATGAAGCTGGGGCTGCAGGGATTACCTCTGTGGAATTAAGGGAAGCTGATAAGATTCTCCTCCTCCATAAGGATTATTACAAGAGCGATTGGTAAGGTCTGTTATTTTACAGAAAAATGGGTTTTGAACATGTTCTTCAGATTGTAGTGCTAAATCTCCAGGGCGTGTGACTGGAGCTTCTGTTGGAATGACATTTTTATTCATTCAGGAAGCATTTATTAAACACTGACTAAGAATAGCTCGCAATCCCAAGGAAACAGGAGAAAGCTAGGGAGTGAGCCCTCAGCGAGCTTCCCGATGTTGGGTAGATGACACGCGTGGAGGGAGGGGGCACAACACGGAGTGAGTGCCCACATGTGAGCACGGAAGAGAGCAGCCAAGGTGCAGTCCCTGCCAGCCCGAGCTGGGGGCCTCGTGAAGGAGGCAGGCCTGGAGCTCGCTGGAACAGAGGGGCTCCCACTCAGGGTCAGGAGATTCCAGGAAGGAGCTGTCCTGCTCAGTGGGCCGGGTGCCAGTAGCGGAACCCCGAGCAACAGCTCAGTCGCTGGGATTTAAAGGGGACACATTGGGGCCCCTGAAGGCTGCTGTGGACTTTCCCAGAGAAAGTCCCAGGTATCTGTGAAGGTGATGTTGGAATCAATCTCAGTGTTAAAGTAAAAAGAATCAGGTTTCTTGACGATAAAAATAATTGCCAGCAGGACTCAGTTCACACCTGTAATCCCAGCACTTTGGGAGGCTGAGGTGGGAGGATTACTTGAGCCCAGGAGTTCAAGGCCAGCCTGGGCAACATAGTGAAACTCCGTCTCTATGCAAAAAAATACAAAATTTAGCCTGGCCTGGTGGTATGCACCTGCAGTCCCAGCTACCTGAAAGGCTGAGATGGGAGGATCACCTCAGTCCAGGATTGTTGAGGCTGCAGTGAGCCATGCATGATTGCACACTGTACTCCAGCCAGGGAGACAGAGCAAGACCCTGTCCCAGAAGAGAGAGAGAATATTGCCATTTATGTTACATTTCTTCGACTCAGAATAAAAGTCTTTTTATAAAATCCTGCGCATTTTGTCAGAGTCCAAGTGAATTAGAATTAGGGTGGCCAAATTTAGTAAATAACAACAGAGGATGCCCAGTTAAATTTGAACTTCAGATAAGTAGGGAATACTTTTTTAGTAGCAGCATGTCCCAAACATGGCCAGGGTGTTCGTATTTTGTCTGGAAACTCTACTTGCAAGCAGGAGGCAGGAGCTAGACATCAGCAAGAATTCCAGGATTGGTGGGACTTGCATTGCATTGAACAAGAGAGCAGCATGAGGAAGCCCACAGTGCCGGGGGCCTAACAGGAATTCCCCATTCTTTTGAAATGTGTCATATTCAAAGTCACCAGAAGTTTTCTGTTTGAAGGAATTGAATACGTTTTTGGAGTAGAGAGTATTTCTGTAATGGGAAGAAACAATTATCTAATAAATATGCTTAACAATGTTTGTGGATTTTATTTAAATCAAATATCTACATATTGCATTTTCTTAAAGGGACTCGGGGAAAGAAAGCGGTTTGAACAGTAAGACTGCAAAGTCCTGAAAGAGGTTACTTGAAGCAATTGGGAAATCCTGAAAGCACCTATCTGGAAGCTTTGGCTGAGACCAGGCCCAGAAGGACAGACAGACAGCACGTTCCTCTCCGGCTCTGTCCTTCTGCAGGGAAACTGAAGATGGGTGTGTTTTGACCCAGAATCCGCAGGGTTAGAGTTGAATTTTACAAATCACTTCAGGATGCAGCGTTGAGACGGAAGACTTAGGATTGGAGAATTAATTTTCTCTTCCTCCTGAGTAAAGCAGCTCTTCCTAAAGCTGAGAATCTTAGCAGAATGAATAAACCAAATGGCAGCAGTCCGGTAAGCACTGTATGACCCTAATCATTCTGACCATTTTGTACCACGTTTTACAGTGGCCTGATTAAATAGGAGAGAATCCACGTGACATGGTGCTCCTGAGAACAAAGCTAAAGTATGCCAATCAAACCATGTGCCCTGGAGGAAAAACTTGGGGCACTCTCTTCTAGCAGCTAATAAAAAATAGGACAACACTTGAATTCTACACGGAGAACTGTTTCTTACATTTAGTTGATACAGTAAGAAGTAACCAGCTACAGAGAAATCACAAGATCTGGATTAGACCAGAACATTTGTTTATTAAAATGTAATTTAAGTAATCAGAACCTTGTGAATGTTTCAAACTGGAAACCCTAGAAAATCTAAGTTTTCTCATGAGATATTTTCTAGTAAACACTTCCATTGCCCAGTCACACCTATAAAGTGAGTATGCACCTGTGTATGATCCCATAAGAGCACTTTTAAAGTAACAAAACCACTATAATATGAAGAGTAATATGATAATTTCCTTTTCAAACACTGATTTTATGAGAAGCGCTTGATCCCAAAATACCTGTATGAGACCAGCTCACTCTTTCCTACATAGAATCAATACTTTATTGGCCTATAAATCTAAGATGCATATAATTCTTAAGTCTTCTTTTCAAACACTGCTAACTGTTAAAGTATGTCCATTAAAACTAAGGAAAAATCATTTTTATAAAATATGGATGAACCTATGTCTAAACGAAGATATTCATAAAGATAGCACAAAAAATGAGCCAAGACTCAAATGAATAAAAACTTCCCTGACTATCCAAGTGCCAAGCATTGTGTCTCTCAGCATTAGAATATTAAGAAATAGCCTTCCCGCAGTTGTATGTACAGTGGTATAATTAGAATAAAATTGAAGTATTCTTTGAAACAGAAGCCTTAGAAAAATGAGTGAAGAACATCAGTGGATTTCCTAAACTGATATTCTGCGAAGCACTCTTCCAAAAACATTAATAAATGTGCCACAAAATAAATGCCCATGGTCAAACAAGTTTAGGAAAAACTCTGTTGTACAAAATGCACTTTTCATATTAAAGGCACTGAGAAGTTCTGCAACAAAGAATCATGTTTAATTGTATTTAATCCACCATTTCCAAAATTTGAAATGAGAAAATATAATACCCACCCCACTGCTGGCATACCTTTTATTAACCAAAAGAATCATTTCTTAGGAAATTCTAATTTGAGAAACAATAGATCGTTTAAAGAGATCTGGTATTTGCCTTTCTTACCCAAACTTTCAAAAGGAAAGGAAGTGTATTGAAAAAATAATTTGAGGTTTTATTGACTCATGCTGTCAGTCGAATGCTTTCTGTCCATTTTTTTCACGAATTGGGTATATTCCAGCCTCCTGGTCTCCCAGCCTTGGGGAGTGACCTTCCGTTTCCAGGGGAAATACAGGTGCCCAGAACTTCCAGCAGGGGGCTCTGTCCGCTAGCACTGACTGTGAAGGACTCAAAGCTGGTTCAAGGTTAAGATGGCTCAACAAGTGACGAGCCAGAAATGTCATCTGGCCACTAGGACGCCGCATTATGAAAGTGTGATCATGGTTCAAGAACGTTGCCATGAGGAAAATCTGTGCACGGAATTACTATTATTAGGTTTTATCGTGTGTGCATTTTCAAACATAGTAAGACAGCCCAAAAGGGAAAAAGTAGAACAAGCCAAAAAGTATTTTAAAAAAATAATTATCCAATTATAGGGCTCCTGTTGAAAATATTAAAAGAACTTAAAAGTTTCCCTACATGGTTGACAACTCAAGTATGCCCACTTTCTATCAAAAATAATGCAGAAAATACAAAATGCGAGAGAAAAGTTGAAAATAAATGGAAATAAACTACTTCCATTGAAACAAGGGACAAATATAACTCTTCAGAAATAATGTCTGCAAATGAGAGAAGCACATTGTTTTGAGGAAGCTGTATTTTGATGATGTTCACCCCTATAATCTGGATTATTTTTTCTTAAACTCTTTCTTCCATATCCCCAACATCCACCTTCTCCAGAAGGGATCAAACCAAAGCAAAAACGTGCTGTAAAAGATTTACAAATTAAATTGCTAAAGAATGGAAAATACTTGATTTAAGGTGAAAGCCGCACCACTTTAGCCAGAAGAGTTGGAAAGATGACAAATAAAGTGGCCAAGCAAGAAGATCAAAGGTGCAAAATAGACTTAATGGACACACACAGCTTTCTGCCCTTCCTTTAGTTGCCAGGGATGGTGGCTTATTGAAGGCATACGTAGTATTCCCACTGGGAGAGAAATGTGCAGCATGACAGGTGCAAGTGGCTAGTAAATTACGGCATTTGCAGGAGAGAGGAACACTTTATTCCCTCCCAAGCCTTAGGAGAGTGTATACATAACACACCCCTCATGGGTAAGACAATCAAACGTGGCCATTCTCTTGTTGAAATGCCACAACTATCTCTATAAATAATCCAAAAGAGAAAAGCAAATAGACCACACACTGATTTTCATGTACTCATGTGTTGCTTCTGAGAACATGATTACTTTTATCCTATGTTTTGATCTTACTAAGGATCAATGTTATATAAAGGTGTTATTTCCACATAGCCAGTACTTTTATGTACTTTTCATTTTCCCCAGGAAAGCTACTATTGGAATGGGTACATGATGTACACTGTAAAGTTTTGGCAGGAGGCAGAATTGCAGGGGGATACAATGTAATGTACGTAAATGATAATACCAAGCATTTGCGCTTAGATTGGGTCTCAGTCTTTTCATTGGAAATGTGACTTCAGGGAAGAGAAGCTGAAGAATGTCCATTCCTCTGGGCATACCTCATGCAAGCAAGGCTCTGCAGACCATGTGGTGACTATTTCTAGCAGCTAATGATGAGGATCGGGGTGGAATAACAGAGCTCTGACTAAAGGGGAGAGGCGGAGCCCCAAGACGCATTCACAGAGCCACTTGCCACTCACCCATCCCATAGCTGACCAAGCCCCGCCTGGAGGGCTTTGAGACAAAATGTAATTCTCTGGAGTTTATGTCACTGAATTAGTGGAAACTAAGAGCTAAAAGCAAACAATTGCTCCATAGAATCAGACCAGCATGGAATTTTCAGAGTATCCTAAATATCAGCCAGCAACAGAAGTTTGTTGGCAAATACCTCACTACTGACTCTTTGAGAGAATAAAGCCGTGATAGCTAGGATTTGCCAATTTCCATGGTGTAAATGCTCCCACATGGCCAACTGCAAGCCACCAATGTGAGGTCACTGGATGCAGAGCTGGGAATAAATATGTTCCAATGACACTTGGGAGCAGGTCTATGCACAGTACGGGGCACAAACAGAGGCTCCAGAGGCCCAGAGAAGGTGAGTTAAGGTAGATCTAAATTTCCAAGCAGTCTTCCAGGTTCCAAGTCCAGGGCACTTTGTTAAAACACAAAAATCATTTGGTTTAGGAAGCCTTGGCCCCACGCTGGAATGGCTTCTCTTTGTTACATATTAGGATTCGTTTAAGACAGATATCTAAAAGGCATTTTGATGTTTGTGAAACTCCACAAGCAAAACTGCCTTTCATTTAAAAATTAGTTTTAGCTATCTTAAATATAACTTTTCTACAGCAAACCATACACTCTCATTCAGTCGTTTCTACGAGGATTTTTCTGAGAGCACTCCAGAGAAATACTGAAAAACACACCCAACACTTAGCACTGTACATTCTCTTGGCAGAATCTGGATGACGTATATTCAGTAAATCTTCAAGCATTTTTTTTTTTGCCTCTTTCACCCCATACTACCAGAGTTAATTTTAACTTCACCTTTTTCTCCCCCAATTTGTTCTCACAGCATCATTATCTCTGAATCAGAACCCTTCTACAGTAAAGGACAGGGAGGCACTGTGCTGAGGACTAGATGGGGTGGGGGAGGGCAGAAGAACAGCAGGAGCCTCCAGAAGCTGTCCTTAACCCCTGGCCTGTGTTCTCAAAACCGATGCTTGGGTCTAAGCCACCTCCATCTGTTTCCATGGGCTTCTATCCTCTTGTCTCTTAGTGCCATGTAAAAATGAAATTTCTTCTTATGCCCATAAGTTATAAAGCTCTTATGTGGCCATATGAACTTCAAAGCATTTAAATTTCTTATGGATCTTATGTGATTAAATGTGTGGCATCCTGAATAATGAATATGAGGGTAACAAAAGTGGTACTGTTGAGAAAGACATTTATAATGGCTCTAAGATACAGTATCAAACACTTAGTCTGGACCAATAAGATCTTGATAATATGTTTCTTTTTTTAAGTTTTAACCAAGGGTCACCAATGACAGAAAAATTTATAATAAACCACTTCCAAACAATGAATATCTTAGATGAACAAAGCTGAAAGAATTTCAGATTCCCAATTCATCTTTTTACGATTCATGCTGTTTCTCAGTTTATTTTATGACTTCAAACAGAGGAGTGAATGGAAATAATTCGGTTATTTTTATCTCTGTGCCTCTGAGGCTGTCCTGTACTCTCAAACACATTTTGTGCTTCAAAAAAATCTCAAGAGTTGCAAATATTCCAAAGGTGCCAAAGTGATACATTTCTTTTTCAACTTGCAGGGTAAAGATATAGTCCAATTTGGTGAATATTAACATTGTCATTTAGAATAAAATATAATTGCTATAAGAGCTAAAAAATTTTGCATGATCAATGTGCTATACTCAATAAATGCAAGAAAATGAGAAATTAGTCATCAAAAAGGGCAAAAATGAACTCCATAAAAACACAAAATGAAGCATAGAACAATCTAAGCAAAAAGGAATTAGTAAAAATAATGATAAATCAAGGATATTTTCAAAGGAAATGAAACAAATCAAGAACTAAAAACCTAGACATGCTTAAACAGGAAAGAGGAACATTACAATTAGATAATTGGATGAGTGTATTTGGAAAACACCATTGTTTCCATTATTTATTTTAACTAAAATGTGGGACAACAGTAAAAATACAAATGTTATTCCGGGCGACCAATTGTCACAAATGAAACATGGTACAAGGGAATCAAACTACCACAACTTAGCTACAGCATCTGTCAAGAGCCTGAAAAAATATTAAGGAAAACAATACAGAGGAAACAGCAAGAAACAAATGGTTGCCGCGTCGACTCACTTCAGAGCGACCCACGATGGAAAGGTTACCTTTGGGGAGCGAGAAATGCTCAAGATGAGATCAAGCTGGAAATGGACTTTTCTGACACTGTTCCTTTCAGTATTTACACAGAAAAAAAATTAACCCAACACAAGGAGCTTTGCCCACGTGCCTCTTCTCTCCGTCTTTTTTAAGTACATAAAACAAAGAGTACATCTTTAAAGATTCATTATGAGATAAACAGATCTTCAAGGGAATATCACTGACCACAGGTCTGTGGAAAACAAGCTGCGGGCTGGCCGAAGCGGCTTCCTTTTTGTTAAACATTTCTGAATGCCTGACAGTTTTATGTAAATGCAATTTGTTAAAAAATGATTCTGCAGAAAAAAAAAAAAAAACAGGTTGTCAACTAATGGTTGATGAGGTTTTGTTGTAAGTTTTAATACTACACGACCACAAAATCTTGAAAATTCAAATAAATGGAAAACAATTAAAATATGATCAATAATAACATACACCCGACGTGTGTGTGGAAGTGGATGCTCTTGAGGGGTAGTTTCTACAGTCATGGTGACCGCCGTAGAGCCCTGGTATGACTTCGGATGAGAGTGGGTTGTGCCCCAGGTCACACCAGGCAAATCAGCAAAGGCAGAAAGATCTGCACAAATTCTGGGGTTAAGGTAAACACGTGTGACCTCAGAATAATGCCTACATAGTGTTCTTTCCACCCAGTGCTTTGGGGAGTCACAGAAATGGCAGAGGGCTGTGGCTTTGGCTTTCTGTGCTGCTGCTGGAAGGGAGTATATAGATGCGGTGGCGTGTGTGGCTAGACTACAGGGACCTGGATCTCCTGGTCAGTGTGGTCCCGTTCACAGTGTTTTCTGATATTGTCACGGTGATGATGTATTGTTACAGCAGGTGGTTAGTCAGACATGAGCAGGGCAGGAGAGGGCAGCCCCCCACCCCCACCAGGAATGTCAGGCAGCCAGCAGGTGATGGTCAGGCGGTTGCTGTCTCTAAAATCATAATTTGTCACAGCCAGCACCAGGGAAAGGCAGTCTTCCAATAGATGGAAACACCTGAAACTGGGGATCAGCAGCTTCCTGATAAGATCTCAGAAGTTGGCCGAGTGGGCTCAAGCATGTGTGCTAAGAGGCAAAATGGTGGAGTTTAACTGGTCTATGACCTTTCTCCAGGAACACTCGACCGGGAAGGGAAAAAAAAAAAAAATGCCTCAAGTGCGCCTGCGCACAACTCCCGTAAACACAACTGTGCGTGCTCCTTTCCCAGGTGCTGGCAGGTCACTGCACATGCGGACACCACCCCAAGGGAGCAATCAGGAGAGCAGGCGCGCAAGGCCCCGGAAGCATATGCCAGCGTAGAAGACCCCAAGTCAAAGGTCAAACAGGGCACTTGATCACTCAAGTCCCCCGCTAGACCCCCTTCTGCGTGTACTTTACTTTCGTTCCTGCTCTAAAATGTTGTAATAAACTTTCACTCCTGCTCTCAAACTTGCCTTGGTCTCTCACTCTGCCCTATGACCCTCTGTGGAATTCTTCTGAGGAGGCAAGAATTGAGGTTGCTGCAGACCCCTGTGGATTCCCTGCGGCTAACAGTGTCATGAACCCAGCATCCTCCAAACCAGCTTCTCTGACTCAACACTGCTCCCTTCCATCCCTTCCCATTCTACCAACACAGATATTCCTGAAACAGCAACTCCGACTATGCTACCTTCTCATGTCAACACTTCTGAGGGCTCCAGATGTAAATGTAAGTGTAAAGGTATCTTACCAGCTGCCTCAATCCACCATTCCAGGCTCACCACTTCCCAGGCCCTACTGTGCTCCACCCACCTTAGCATCTTGGAAGCTCTGTGGCCAGGCCATGCACACCCAGCCTTGTGCCTGGCCCACTGCGTCTCCTTGGGAAGCACTCCTCCACCTTCCCTACAGACCATCTTATATCTTATACCTTCCATAGGTTCCTTCTAAATGCCACCTCCTCAATCCGCTGTCTCACGTAGAATTAATTCTCACACTTTTTACTTATACAGAAATGTTCTACAGACTTTAGAAGACATCCTATTGTACTAAAGTTTACAGTATATTAGATTTGCATTATAGTTATTACCTGTTTGTTTCCAGTTAGACTGCGGTCTTTGGAGGGTAGGAACAAGTTCTTATTTCTCTCTGTACCCAGCAGCTTACGCACAGTAAGGATTCAGGCAGTACTTATTATTATAGTTAAATAAATGGAGCTTTACAGGTTTACAAGTGTCTCAAATGTTTTTCCATTTTGCAGACTTGACTTAAAAACACAGACATAACCCTTAGAATCACTCCGTGAGTTAGTAGCCATGCCATTAAATGACAGATTTAGAGATGCATATATATTTTCGAATCTTGAACACCCAACTTCCTTTCAGTAAGCAAGATAATACATCAACAAGACTTGCTTTAGAAAAACTTTTATTTGCAAAATTCATAGCTCAGCCGTCGTTATTGTGCTCATTTTTTACATGAGAAAACATTAGCACATAAAAGCTAGACTAATTTACCGGCCTTCCTTGGTGAATTAATGACGGAGCCACAGCTAGCAGCCAAGATTTACTGAATTCCTACATTAATCTTAGTCCATGGAACCACCCAACCTGTGGACCAGTCAAGCTAGACTGAGGAAGAATAGGATTGAAGTAGAACTCCCTCTCTTACTGGCCACTGAGAACAGGGTATGGTTTGAATCAAATGCTTTCCTACAGGAGTCATGAATCAACCACAACTTCCTCCTGCTCTGTATAATTTCTCACTGATTTGAACCAAGCACATGGCAACTACCTATGGCACAATCTTTGGGGATGAAACGTTGAAGCCAATGGACGTTGCTTTAAACTTACCAAGGGCTAACATCTTTGGCAAAACTCTACCTTTGCCTCAATGCATAAGGAGTTTTCCTAAGCACTAGATTCCTTTAAAATTATATGTTATGGGGAAAAAATAAAACTTGCCAAGTTATGCATTGAATGTGACGACCTTCAGTGCATTTTTGGATGTTGCTAAGAAATGTTTTCTTTTCTTTTTTTTTTTTTTGAGATGGAGTCTCTCTCTTTCACCCAGGCTGGAGTGCAGTGGTGTGACCTTGGCTGACTGCAACCTCCACCTCCCGGGTGCAAGTGATTCTCCTGCCTCAGCCTCCTGAGTAGCTGGGACTACAGGTGCCCACCACAATGCCCAGCTAATTTCTGTATTTTTTAGTAGAGACACGGCTTCACATGTTGGCCAGGCTGGTCTTGAACTCCTGACCTCAGGTGATCCATCCGCCTCAGCCTCTAAAAGTGCTGGGATTACAGGCGTGAGCCACCGTGCCCAGCTGAAACGTTTTCTAAATTACATTTGGATTTTCTGCATGCTAAGGGAAACAATTTGCATGTCATCAACAGATACATGAAAATTCCAAGCTGTGTTAGAAAAACTTCATAAACATAAACATTTGGCATGCCAAATTTTATGCCTAAGTATCAAAGGAAGAGTAGCTTACTCATGGTTTTGTATTTAAGATGTCAGCTGGGTCAAACCAATGATAGATGATCAAAGTGGTGCTTTCATTAAAGAGAAGGAAAGGAATGTTAGGCAGACTTTAGAATGCATAAATAACCAAATGAGAAAAAAATGGGAAAAAGTGTGTAAGAATACCCTAGTCAATGTGGAATCAGTTATCTTTTAACATTACACAGAAAGGCAGTGCCAGTGAAACACACATACACAGGTGTGAACACACACACACCCCTAGTGTCAAGTCAGTCCCTCCTCAGGAAATTCCATAACTATGTGACTTAGGGCCAGTTACAAACTCTGAGCCTGGTTTCTCATTTATAAAGTGAGAAGAGTGATGTCTTCTTCACAGGACTACTGTGAATATGAAAATAAATAAGTACATGAAAATGTATTATACCTATGAAAAGCTTGTTCTGTGATAGGCATTTAGAAACAACAGCAAAATAAATGTCATAAAGTCCAGAATGGGTCAGGTGCAGTGGCTCACACCTGTAATCCCAGCACTTTAGGAGGCCGAGGCAGGTGGATCATTTGAGGCCAGGAGGTCGAGACCAGCCTGGCCAACATGGTAAAACCCTGTCTCTACTAAAAATACAAAAATTAGTCTGGCATGCTGGGTGTGCCTATAGTCCCAGCTACTTGGGAGGTTGAGGCAGCAAAATTGCTTGAATCTGGGGGGCAGGGGCTGCAGTGAGCTGAGATCATGCCACTGCACTCCAGCCTGGGCAACAGAGCAAGACTCTGTCTCAAGAAAGAAAAAAAAAAAGTCCAGAATGTAAAGCGCTGATGAGATTCAGGTAAATGTAATCCATGGTAAGTGCGATGCTTGTTAATATGGTTCCTTCCTTTTCTGAGGTTTGAGTTAGGACTCCATTTGTAGAAGGAAGACTAGACCATTTCTGTTTGCACATAAAATCTGCCTCTCAAGGCAGGCTAAGTCACTGGGCACTGTCTTCGCCTGCCAAGCTCCCTTGGGCCCAGCCCAGTTCAGATCTTCCTGTCCTAGGGTGGCCTCTCTCCCTACCTGCCCCTGCCCCAGGGATGGCCTTTACTACCAAGCAGTGGTGGGAAAGACCAAGCCCTCCCTCTCTCTCGGGGCTCTACTCAAAGGAAAAACTTCTGACGTCATTTTACATTTTGTTGTTCTCAGTGACCATTCTCAGTTCCATCTCACTTTTCTACTTTCTTTTGATTTTCTTCTGTTTTCATATTTTTATTTTATTATTTGATGAACTTGTGTTATCATTTCTTTTGCAATCTCTACGCATCTCACACTGTTCTTTTGCGGGACTGCTTTTCTTCTCTTCTTTCTACAACTTTGTTCTTCTCTTCCTCTTCTTTCTCCCTCTCTTTACCTTCTCCCAGGGCTGATACAGAGCCAGTGCCAAGGGCCCACAATACTTTAAGGAGCCTTCAAAATATTTTTATTTCTTTTAAAATCAGAAGAAAAAAATGAATGTTGGGGTCAAATGAAATGTTTCAATAAACAATACTGATATATTAATCTTCATACCAACAGTCATAAAATAATTATGTAATTGTGAATATAATCTTGTTATCGAAAAAGTGGCCCGCACATAGTCTCCAGAGCCCATAAAGTCATCATGCGTCCTTGCCTTCTCCCTCTACTGAAGCTTACCAACACTTCTACTTTTCTCCACTTTACTTTTACAGTAAAATTCACTTCATCATTTTTTTCCATGTTTCTCCCAACAACGAACTCAAGAGCTCACTTTTCCATGTTCCCATAGAACCTTGAGTATAAATATCCATTACAGCAATCATTATATTAATACCAATTATCCTTTTGTGAGCCCTGCTGGATTGTGAACCCTTGGCATGGCTGAACCTATCTTACTTAAGTTTACAGAGGACTCATCAATGTTTTATATACAAACCAATGAGCAAAGGAATCAGTACATAATCAATGATTCATACTTCAAGCACTGCTCTCACTCACTGAAATGTACATACACCATCCACCGACCAAGCCTTGTCATGAGCAGGGAAGCCCACAGGGGAGAGGAAGGTGTGTCTCTGCTGGTGTAGAAGTGTAGGGGCAGGTGGTGAAGTTGTCAGCAATGCCACACTGGCGTAAGAGTGCTATGATCGAAAGGAACTGCTGCTGCTGTAGCCAAGGCAACTGGAATTGAGGACATTTTTGGTGAGTTAAGTCTGCTCATCCTTTGGGTCCTGTTTGCCAGTGGAAACTTCCTCTAAAGGAGCTAACTTCCTAGGAATGAATATCTATTTTTCTGCATAACAAACCAACCCATTATTCAAATTCATTGATGTCCAGTTAATGGAGGCAGCAGAAATACCAGGGGAAAAGTCCAGCCACTGTCCACCCTGCAGCCATGAGCTCTTAGTGCCTTAATGGACAGGCAGCTGTGAATCAGATGGAGGGAGGGAGCAAGGCTGAAAGTAAGACAGGAAAAGCGCTGAGTCTATGGAGTTCACACTTCCAACACCACCATCATGTATGGACTCCTGTTTTTCAAAGCTCAAGTAACATTTCTTCGTTTCTCATTATTGTGGCCTGACAGTTTCAAAGCACCACCTGTACTTCTGAACTGGATAATGTACAGGGAAAGGGTGTGTGATATTACTACTGACAAGAATCCAAAATGAGGACTTTGAGCTCTTGAACATAAGCTAGTGTCTTGATAGGTGAGTAAATCAAAACCTCCCACTGAAAAGACTAGGATTCCCTAAACAGGGATCCATGTGACTGTGGGTCTGCAGGAGAAAACAGCTGCGACTTCAAAAATTTGACTTGGGGAAAAAAGAAAGTGCTGTTTTCCCTCTAGAACTTTCAGTTCTCGTAGCTTCTTTTGTTGCTGTAAAATTATATTCATTAACAAAGCCCCTGGGAGAGCTGCCATGGTGGAGCGGCAGTTGGAAATAATGCTGCAGAATGAGACGAAAATTCATCCAAGGGTTTGCACAATTTCAGGGCCTCAAAAAATTGAGATATTAAGCAACAAGTCCAGCAGGGCCGTGCACCTTGCAGTGAAACTGCCCTGGACCCTGATTCCTGCACTCACAGAGAATCGAAGTGACTGCCTGCTCCACAATTGCCCCTCAGCTTCCTCCAGCGGCACAACCCCACCTCAAAACACAAAGAGAGTCTGACTATCCTGGCAAGACTTAAAAGTCCAAATAAGAAAAAGTAGAAATAAATGAAAAGCCTGTTCTTACTATTCTACCAGAAAACAGAAAGTGGAACTCATTAACAGTCTTTATTCTTTCATTTACCGAACTGTGTCAAACTCTGCATCTGGCACTGTAAGCCCTTGAAATGAAGAAAATAAACATGCAAGACGGTAAGTAATAGCTCATCCCTAGAAGGCTCACATGGGAAAACCCATGGAAGGTGAATGTGTAACATGGAGGCGATGAAGGCTAGAATCCCCATCCACAGTCCACAGACAGACAAAGCAATATTGCCCCTCCATGAGCCCTTTCCTCCCCAGCTCCTCCTCAGGGAGCCAGCGCCTCACTCCACTGCTTCTCACTTCTTACCTAGTGTTCCGCTCCATCTGATAATTAGAGCTGGGAAAGACTGGTTTGACTGGTTTGACTATTTGGGGTTCACCCAGTAACCCACATGCTTTAGGCCCTTTCAAGTTCCTGCAGAGGCTGCTTTCCGGCACAGAGGAGGATTTCAGAGTGACCGCGCCGCTTGAATATAAATGCAAGTTAATACAGTGCCCCAGTGTGTCTATTAACTGGGCTAAAGATTTACATTTTGAGGTTGAACTTTCCCTCTCTATTAAACCATTAATTTCATAGGCTGGGCAAGGAGAAAACTCCCAGGCATACAGACAAGGTGACCTCCGTGCTGCCCACAGTAAAAGACTTCCTCCAATAACTAGTGTTTTCTTCTAGCTTGAATCTTCTGTACAGATACGTTTTCAAAACTCGGCAAAGTCACTATTATGACCATGACCAGCCTAGAAATAAAAACCCACTTGGGCTGCGTCATTACATCTTACAGTAAATACTATTTTGCTTAGCTCTGAACAAGAAATCTTCCCTGAGTTTTCCCAGGTAATAATGCACTAGGTTTAAAGGATAATCATGAAAAAAATAACGTTTAAGGCTTTCCATAAATAAACCTCAAAAATATCATATAAAGAGAAAAGCTGTCGCTCTGTAACAAAGGCCTAGGACTTTTGCCAACCTTGTTAGAATAATGATGCAGAAATTGGGGGCCACGTTTTTCACACTTACAAAGAAATAAAACTGGCATACGAGTGATCACCGGCACAAGGTGCCTTGCACCCCAAAAATGATCCGGCTTCCTCTGTGTTTCCTGGTCTCCTGCTGATCACTCCTTGCATGAAGTCCTGTGCCTATGAACACCTAATAAATATTCACTGATGATGACAACTTATATCTTCCCTGAGACTGGGACAATACCCTGGCCTGTCTGATGTCACTGGCATCACGCCACCCAAATCGCAAGTGCAAGCAGCAGGTGGGCGCTGGAGCAATAAAGGAGTGTGTGTGGCCACAGGAGGGACACTGCGGGGCCCTTCCCTGCCCGAAACCACCACAGCCTGCCAGCCGCCAACGGGGACGGGAGGAAGGTTCCTCCGGAGCTTCCACCAGGGGATTCAGCACTTCAACCTGCCTGGAGAATTTCATTAGAATCTCAGAAGCTGAGAAATTATTTCAACACGATAGTTCACAATGCAGAGATGCACATTTATCATCTTTTACATTTAAAATATTTTATTGGAGGGGTGTGAGAGGAATTTCCATAAGTATATATAATCTCTGATTTTTAAAAATTTCAAGTATGGAAAAGTACCAAATAACTTATATTCAGCAGTTCTGATAAGAACCTAGTATCTTATTTTTTATAAGCAGATTATTTTGTTAGAGAGTATTATAGTAACTCACTTTCCCCTTAGAAATTCTCCCTGCTTATAGATGTTAGCTAAGCTCCATTAGCACAAAAGGTTGCCTGTCTTTTTTCTCTGAAGATAAAAACATCCTGCTCATAGTTTTAAACTCTTTGACAAACAACAACAAAAGCCCTAAACTTCTCTGTGCAGTGGCATCCTGATGAAATCTAACTGGAAAACGATAAAGCGACAGAAATCCCAGGCTTTGAGATATTTTTAATTGCCAATTTTCCTCTTGCACTGAGGCATTAATCCTTGAAGAATAGAAAGTAGACTTGCCAATAACCCAGCAGAGAAGGGGCATGGGAGTAAGAGAAGGAAGGAAGCACATAATGGTGGGAGAACTCCCCCTCTCCCCCCAGAAGCCTCTGTTGAATCCACCCCTGTCCCCACCCTGCCTGCCCTCCTGGGCCTCCCCGCCTTGTAACTGGAAGCCAGCCGAGAGCAGCATTGGTATTCAAATTAGTCTGCCAATCTCTGCCTGGCACAGCTCTTGGTGGCCTGTCAGTACATGGCTGGAAGACAAGGTACCAGATCTTAGATCTGGGGAGATCCAGCCAGATTTCAAACCCACCCAGGATATGTGTCATCAGCCTATCCACGGGATGTCTTGAGGCGGAAAGTGTTTTCTTCTCCATCGTCTTTATTTTTATTAAAACAAAACAAACAAACAAAAAAACCCAAGAAGACAATGCATCTCCAACAGAGATTTAAAAAGACAGAGGAAGGGGGCTATGCAGAGTCAAGCGAGGCACTCAGCACTAAACATCGGTTTCCATGGGAACGAGAGCTGCTTTGTGGAGCTCCGGCAACTTCCCACTCGCTCTCCCCCATAGAACTGGGACCACAGTCTCTGGCATTGTATTTGTGTGGCCAACTTTTCTTTTTTCTCGTTCACTCCCCCTGCCTCTCCCCAGCAACAACCCCCATCGCCACACAAGCAAAAAGGAGAGGAGTGCTCAGAGGTCTGGCTGGATTCAATCACAAAGCATAAAAGGACCCAGCAACGGGGAGCCCCCACGCTGCCCGAAAGACCCTGCCATCCTTTCGTCTCTTGTCTCATTTTTCATCCCCTCTTCAAGCAGCTCATGAGGACTATTTCTTAACTCTTTACCTGCATAACACACAATCATTGTGTATCAGTTTTAAATTACATTTTCATATGCCTAAAATGCTCTGGGCACATGGGAATTTTTTTTTTTTTTTTTGACACAGTCTCCCTCTGTCGCCCAGGCTGGAGTGCAGTGGCCCGATCTCGGCTCACTGCAACCTCCGCTTTCTGGGTTCAAGCCATTCTCCTGTCTCAGCCTCTGGAGTAGCTAGAACTACAGGCGCATGCCACGACACCTGGCTATTTTTTTTTTTTTTAAAGTACAGATGGGGTTTCACCATATTGGTCAGGCTGGTCTTGAACTCCTGACCTCAGGTGATCCACCCACCTCAGACTCCCAAAGTGCTGGGATCAACAGGCGTGAGCCACCGTACCTGGCCAGATATTTTTTTTTAATAGTAATAACCTAAATAGAAAATAGTCAGTGTTGAGAGAAGCATGATTTTAAAGCAAACTTAGTAAATAGTCAAAATGTTGATGTATTCTGTTGGGGTGCATGTGCACGTGTATATACGCTAGAGGGAGGGTGACAGAGAGGAACTTTTAGAGGGTCATTCCTGCCTACCTTTGATGAGGGGGTGTAGTTCAGTGTTCAAACACTGTGAGGTCAGGTGAAAATCCGAAGTTCATCTTCTCTATTTAACTGAATACCTTTAATTTGGTGGTGTTTTTTTTCTAATTTATTTTTACTTTTAAATTTAAAAAGGGAAATATTTATGAATCTATTACTCAGAAGCTGCCCTGCAAAACATTTTAACACATAAATCCTCATCATTTTGCTAAGTGTTAGAACTTTTTTTTTAATGAAAGAAAAGGCATATTTTTTAACACTGTTCATAAATCACCACTAAAATATTTAGTACTACAAGTTTTTGAGGTTTCAAAGGCACTCCTTTCTTTAAAAGGTTTACAGAATGCTTCAAAGTCTACCCAGGCAAAAACTCCCTTGTCATTCACAGGCAAGCTTTCAGATTCAAAGACGTTTGCATTTTGTTTGTAAGTATTTATTTAGGAGATCTGCAATTCATTTTCTTTTGCAAGATGAAAATGTCAATTTTCATCATTTAAATTCAAACTTGTAAAAAAAAGTTCAGCCTATTTATGTGTAACTGAGCTGCAATCTTACCATTTTGAAAGGTTTCTTGGACTATACGGCATGAAAGGAGTTATTAAAGATTGAAAGCCATTTAGAGCTTTGGTGAATAAGAAATATGATTTGTCCATCAAAGCTAGAAATCATTTTTAAATCCATCTCTTCCCTCATTCACCTCCCTCATGAATATAATGCCTTTTTATCACAAAGATGTTAGGACATTGGCATCGGTGTTGATTCTTTGACATCCTCCCAACTCACCTGTTCTGTCCTCCCCCATAGAATTGTTCAAGATCCACTTAAAACATTATTTCTCAAAATGTGAAGCAGATGCAAACCCTGGGCTTGTTGCTTTACTTCCTGGGTCACTATTACATACTCTCCTCCCTTTCCTCCTCTCCCCCAACTCCCCTCCCTTCCCGTCCTTCCCAGAAAGAGGCATTGAGTCAGGATGCTCTGAAGACCAGAGCAGATCAGTAACTAGCAATAATTGATAGTAACTGGTAAAGGGCTTCTCCCACACCCACTGGAAATGAACCTTCATTTTCGCTATTCTTCAGTTCCAAATGTTTCCCACTGCCCTGTCAAAGACACAGACGGTGCGTTTTTCCCTGTAGAGCACCTCCCTTGACCCTGCTCCTGCAGACCTTGGTCTGTGCTTGTCCAGTGAGAGCCGCACCTCCGTGGGGATTCCATGCTAGTGTGGGAAGGCAGGTTAAGGGAGGGCTGCACACACGATGATTGTTGTTAAAAGCACCAGTGTGTTCCCTAGAGGATTTGAAGGGGGAGCAATGGAAGCGTGCCCCTCCTCCTTCTGTCTCCAGGAAGAAAGGCTTCCCCTGGCTTAGAGTGCTCTAGGGCGCTGGGTCCCCTCAGGGTCTTCCTTCTGTGTTCTATGTTCAACCTTCCATCCCCACACCCCAACCCCAGGCCCTGCCAGTTCCCAGCACTGGCCCTGTTCTCCCGGTTACAGGAAAGGCGTCCCAGTCCAGTCCCCAAGAGAGGGTTCTTGGACCTCCCACAAGAAAGAATTTGGGATGAGTCCATACAGGAAAGTGAAAGCAAGTTTATTAAGAAAGTAAAGGAAATAAAGACTGGCTACTCCATAAGCAGAGCAGCAGCATAGGCTGCTCAACTGATTATACTTCTTGACTATAGACTTCTTGATTATATGCTAAACAAGGGGTGGATTATTCATGAGTTTTCCAGGAAACGGCTGGGCAATTCCCAGAACTGAGGGTTCCTCCCCTTTTTAGGCCATATAGGGTAACTTCCTGACATTGCTATGGCATTTGTAAACTGTCATGGCGCTAGAGGGAGTGTCTTTTAGCATGCTAATGCATTATAATTAGTGTATAATGAGCAGTGAGGACGACCAGCTGTCACTTTTGTCACCATTTTGGTTTTGGTGGGTTTTAGCCAGCTTCTTTACCACATGCTGTTTTATCAGCAGGGTCTTTGTGACCTGTACCCTGTGCTGACCTCCTATCTCATCCTGTGACTAAGAATGCCTTAATCTCTTGGGAATGCAGCCCAGTAGGTGTCAGCCTGATTTTACCCAGCCCCCGTTCAAGATGGAGTCGCTCTGGTTCAATCACCTTTGACACCCCTGCCTTGAAACATGGGTAGGTCTCTTGAAGTCCCAAAAAGGTTTTCGCTGGGCTCCACTGCATCTTCTATTTACCTTCTCTAGTCACACATCATAAAAATCATCCCAGAGAAACATCGTTGCCACCAGGGAGTCTCACACTCTCAGGTCCTGGCATTGGAAGGCAGCTGGAGGTTAGCAGAGCCATCCTTCTTTCCTTCCCCTCAGGATAAAATCTTGAGTGGGTGGCCTGAAGTCACATTGCCTGCTCCCTCTCTTTTTCCCTCAGCCTCTGTGGCCTCACTCCCACTCCTACCAGTGCACAAAACCATGTTCCTGAAGGTCTTCATTCTGTTGCCCCCATTACACATCAGAAGCACTTTGCTTTTGTGTTTCCATGATGCTGACATTTTCTGTTGCTTCCCCTACCTCTTTCCCTGATCCTGTTTCCTTTCCTAAGTCCTCATCTCCTTCCTTCTTTCTTCTGTTTTTGCCCTCTGGCCTCACCTCTGCTCATTTAATTTCAACTCCAAGTCCGCATCAGTTAACAAACCTCATCTTTCCTTAAACCTCCTCAGCTTCCCTTCCATACATGCCAATTGCAGCTTCTCCAGGTGAGACATTCCTCACCCACACCTGCATTATTAAAAAGGCCTCCCAACAGGTGAATTCTAAATTCAAAAGTTCAATGGGTTCTAAACAGGAGGCTGACCTAAAGAATGCAAGAATATATGGTCTTTAAGAATAGGGACTATCTTACTCAACTTGAATTTTTAGTCATGCCCAGCACATCATAGAGCCACAAGAAACCCAGGGAAATCCTAGGTTTAGTGGACTCTAAAAGGCATACACGCATTCATTCAAAACTACTCGTCATGTCACTACTGACCAATAGAGACACAGTAGCAAAACACATCAAATGGAGTTTCTACAATTTTTGAAACTCCCAGTCGAATGGAGGCAAAGATATTAAACCAATAATCATTAAAGTAATGAATCATAATAAAATACAAGGTAAAAGCACAAGGTGCAGTGGAAATCGGTAACAGCTGTGGGGAGCACAAAAGCCACCCTTGAGGAGCCTGGGTGGGACCTGAAGAGTTCCGGGGGTGAGTGGGCTGGGTGGGCTATGGGAGCAGCCTTTTGGACGGGGGCTGGAAAGCACCTGGTGGACTAAGGTTTGGAAAACCCGCTGTGAGGCTGAGGGATGATGATAAAGTGAGGCTGTGGTGCAAGGGGAGAGGCCTCGGTCTTCCAGGGAAAGTCGGACTTCACCTAGAACAGAGGGACTCCATGAGACACAGTGCATGATGGTACCTTCCAAGCTCGTTCCTGTGGATTTGGGGTGGGCCACACCACTTCTCTATATTTGCTGCCACAACCTTAAAATCTTCACAATAAATGTAGCGAAACTTAGGGATGACTGGTTGGAATGCAAAGGGTTTGACTTTGTCTGGCTCTGTGTCGCCACCCAAATCTCATCTCGAACTGTAAGCAGGGGAGGGGTCTGGTGGGAGGTGATTGGGTCATGGAGGCGGACTTCCTCCTTGCTGTTCTCATGGTAGTAAGTTCTCATGAGACCCGATGGTTTAAAAGTGTGTGGCACTTTCCCCCGCACACTCTCTCTCCTGTCACCATGGAAAGAAGGTGCCTGCTTCCCCTTTGCCTCCCACCATTGTCAAGCTTCCTGAGGCCTCCCTAGCCATGCTTCTGTGCAGCCTGTGGAACTGTGAGCCAATCCAACCTCTTTTCTTCATAAATTACCCAGTCTCAGGTAGTTCTTTACGGCAGTATAAGAATAGACTGACACAGGCTTGAAATAAGAAAATATTTTACTTTCCCGTTCCACTAACAGGGCAAGTTAACATTGCTATCTAAGACGATCACAGAGGCCAGGCGAGAAGGGGACAACCTTGCACCTGAGCCCTGGGTGATGACGCACACAGAGTTCATGGTGACAAGTCCGTCTGTCTGTGAATTCGTTCAGATCTGACAGCGTCAGGCGTGTCATGGACAGGACAGCCCCAACCCCGTGAGAATCATTTCCTCTTGGGCCTTGGGGAAACAATCCTTTCAAGAAGCAGCTTCTTGAAGCTTGGAAAACATCTAATCAGTGCGGCAGTATGGCAGCAAGACTTCTTGAACAGGGGGCCCCCAGAGCTTTCTGACAATACATTCCGGAGATGCACCTGAGAACCCCTTTGAAAGACAGCACAATTTGACATCCACATTTTGTGACCATGACCTCAAAAACAGGTTCACTCTTACCATTAAAAAAAATGGGGAAAAAAAGCCCTGCTTTACACCTAACTCCTGCACCTACCACCCATAAGTTAATAAATAGAAGATGGCAATATTTTACTTTGACCCCTCACTGAAACAATCTGAGATTATTTTGTTTTTATCAACATCAAATGCACAGCTGCTGCAATCATGTATGACTCAAATATTAAAGGCAACTTTCACCAAATGGTCACACCAGCAAAAGCTTCCTCTACTTCTAATGTCCCTCTGTGGGTTGATTGGGTTGATTGTCCCACAGATAGGTTCTTCCTCATTTAATCAACCAGGATTAGCGTAAGGGTAGGCATTCACATTCATGCTTACTAAAAATAACGTGACAAAAAAGGCTTTGGGATAAGGCTAGCTTCCAGATTACCAAGTTAAATAAGCATGTACCATTACCTTAAATTTGCAAGTACTTTAATGTTTTAAGAATGTTTCCTATGTATTTATCTGGTTCACTAATCATTTATTCAGCTTGTCTGCATGGCCTGTATCCTGAGAAGTTTTGTGAAGTTCAGTGTTACTACGCCATCTTAATTTAATCAGGGTGATGTTTTCAAAGTTATCAACATGCAGATTTGTTAGAATATAGGTTTGGCCACTATCACAGAAACCATAAATGACAGTAGCTTAAATAAGTTGGAAGTTTATTTCTCTCTCATAAAATACTGAGATGAGAGGAACATCCAGCTGGAAGGGCAGCTCCCTCCTCCTGCCTTGTTGCTCTGTCTTCCGTAAGGTTGTGAAAGGAAAACAAATCTTGGGACCCCAAAATCACTAAGCTAAGGAGAAAAGTCAACCTGGGAACTGCTTAGGGCAAACCTGCCTCCCATTCCATTCAAAGTCATCCCTCTGCTCACTGAGATAAATGCATATCTGATTGCTTCCTTTGGAGAGGCTCATCAGACACTCAAAACAATGCATCCATTTGTCTCTTATCTACCTACGACCTGGAAGCCCCCTCCCTACTTCTAGTTGTCCTGCCTTTCCAGCCCAACCACCATACATCTTAACATATTGATGTCTCAGGTCTCCCTAAAATGTATAAAACCAAACTGTGCCCTGACCACCTTGGGGACATGTCACCAGGACCTCCTGAGGCTGTCACAGGCACACATCCTTAACTTTGGTGAAATAAACTTACTAAATTGACTGAGACCTCTCTCGGATATGTGGGGTTCATGACGTACCATGCTCTGCACCAATGCTGGCTCATCCCACATTGGTATCCTGGACAGCAGAAGGGAAGAGGAGGCACCACCTGGAAGCTCCACATATCCCTCTCTGTACACACCACTGGCCAGGACATAGACTTATGGCCAAAATGAGCTGCAAGGGAATCTTGGAAGCATGGGCTGGCTAGGCAGCAGCATGCCTATGTAGAAATTCTAACACGAGTGCAAGATAAGAAGTGTCAACAAAAAGAGTTAGACTCCATAAAATATTTGAAAGATTTACTCTGAGTCAAATATGAGTGGCCAATGGCCCGTGAAACAGCTCTCAGGAGATCCTGAGAACATGTGCCCAAGGTGGTCAGGCTATAACTTGGTTTTATACATTTCAGAGACACATAAGACCTCAATAAATACATAAGATATCAATCAATATATGTAAAATTTATATTTGTTTTGTCAGAAAAGATGGGAAAACTGAAAGCAGGGAGCATCCAGGTCATAGGTGGCAATTTTCTGATTGGCAATTGGTTGAAAGAGTTCATCTAAAGACCTGGAATCAATAGAAGGGAGTATCTGAGTTAAGATACGGGGTCCAGGAGATCTAGGTTTTATCACACAAATGAAGCCTCCCTGCAGCAGGCTTCAGAGAAAATAGATTTTAAATGTCTCTTATCAGACTTAAAGAGTCTGTTTGTCAGTCTTAAGGTTTCTGTTTTAATGTTAATGCTGGTCAGCTATGCCTGAATTCCAAAGAAAGGAAGGGATCATGAGGCATATCTTACCCCCACTTCCCACTGTGGCCTGAATTCATTTTTCAGATTAACTTTGGAATGCCCTTGGCCAAGGGGAGGGCCCATCAGTTGGCTGACATGCTTTGACTTTTATTTTTGGCTTGTAGAAGAATGGATTTAGGGGGTAAAACCAACAATCTGTATAATATTTTTTTCTTTGTAGCTTTACAGCTTTTTATAGTAAAATAAGATTCTGTAGCACAATAACTAAATATTGTTGAATTGTTCAATATTTTGAATATTGAGCTCATGAACCAAATACTGTTTGGAGAGGAAGCACTACTATTTTATCTCCTCCTTTAGCGCATCAAAAACCAGGACCAGAAGACCCGCATCCGTGCCCCTCTCTCCTAGAGTTCGGACATGGTCCCCCTTTCACTTAGGATGAGATCTGTGCTTCTACTACTTGTAAAAAATGACATGAGACAAGGAAAAGAAGTCTGCTACTTAGTTATGGTCTAGGATATACTGAAAACATCAAGAAGAAAATATAAGAGTAGAGAGTCAAAGGTAGAAATCTCTAGGCTATACCCTGAGAGAGCGGAGAACTTCAGATGGGTGAGGATAACACAGAAACCAGGGCCTCTCTTGCCACCACCCCCATATACCCTGATGTCCCCCTTGGGGCTCTGGGAAGAGGTTTTCTTTTTATTTTATTTTATTATTATTATACTTTAAGTTTTAGGGTACATGTGCACAATGTGCAGGTTAGTTACATATGTATACATGCGCCATGCTGGTGTGCTGCACCCATTAACTCGTCATTTAGCATTAGGTATATCTCCTAATGCTATCCCTTCCCCGTCCCCCCACCCCACAACAGTCCCCAGAGTGTGATGTTCCCCGGGAAGAGGTTTACTTTGAGGCTTCTGTGGACAAGACGACCTGCTATTGCAATATGATTTCAGAGAGAGGTCTTGAAGTCAAGCTCTCTGGGGCTATTAGTGCCTTTATGTTATGAGCACTAAGCTGGGAGTCAGAGGCTCTGCTATGCGGGCAGCCAAGGCTGGGCAGAAGGACCCACAGCAGCATCCGGGATGCATAGGCCACGCAGGGGCAGGAAGCAGCTGGGACACAGGAAGCCAGGCCGGGGCTGAGGAAACCAGCTCTGTCCAACCCAGAAGAGAGACCACCAGGGTGCATTTATATTTTTTAAAAATGTCATGGAAAGAAATGCAATTTGAATTTTGTCCCTGACTTTCTCCCACTAGTAAAAGAAAAAAAAAGGATTGTTAAGACAAACAAAGTCCTGTTCTGAATACCATAGTTGCATATAATACATTCCACAAGGTAAATCTGAACTCTTGCCAAAAGTTTGTGAAGAAAATACAGACAGCATTCCACCCCTCAGTTCCCAAGATCTTAAAATGAAACTATTTCCTTGCCTGACTAAGAACAAACAAACAAAAATCCAGAAGAAGACAAAAGAAAAAAATCTTGAGATGAGTGCAATTAAAAACAACGTAATTTTCACATGTCATCTGGTCCTGGAATCACAGTTACTAAGCACTTGAACACCCTTTAGGGTTTCATTCTGTAAAATTTCCTTACTTTCCAATGTATGCAAATTCCAATTCAAAGTATATAAAAACACCTCTTTTTATTTTTTTCTCAGCAGAAATCAAATCTTACAGATACGGGTCCCACTCTATCACTCTTGTTCCTCTTGTAACTTTATTCTCTCGACTTCTCTGTAAACAGCTTGTCTCAGGTCTCCAGAAAACAAAACCATCTTTCCTTTGATCCTGACATATCCACAAGTGAATAAGTTGATTTTCCTCCTTCTTCTCACAACCAGTCTTACTGAATAACTCATCTACTTTTCTTAAGCGCAACATTTAACTCAAACGACCACTCAGGCTCCCACGCCCTCTCAATACACATAGGCTAATCCCTGTCATATCGTCCTCATCACTCTGCGTAGAGTTCTTTCAAGATTTTCCTCAATGGTTTTCAACAAACAAATTCAACAGACCCTTTGAAGACATCCTCCTCCCTAAACTCAGTGGTATTGGATACAACAGGCCAATCCTCTTTCCTGGCATTCTCTGTCTTTGGCAGCCCTGACCTGTGTTCTGAGGTCTCCTCCTTTCTTTCCAGATGCCCCTTCTGTCTCCTTCAGGCAGAGGTTCTGCAAAGATCCATCTTTGATGCCTTCTTGTATCTCTGTATACCCTGTGGCTTCCATGATTTATCTGCTGTGTGTAGAAGAGTCTTTCCAAGTCCTGAAGTCCAGGGTATGTCCCCAGGAGGGACATTGTGGTATCACAGATAGGACCATATTCAGTATTACTACTTTTGCTGAATTGCTCCCCAAAAGATGCAACAATTAATGTTCTCAGCAGCAGTGTTTGAGGTGCCCTACGGCTCTGCCTATACCTAAGCTTGTCATGTCAGAGTTCCAGGTTTCAAATTACATCACACTATTACCTTAATCTGCATTAAATCAAAAGGTTGAACATCCTTTCATATATTATTGGCCATTTAGGTTATCTTTTTTTTAAATTGTGTTTATATAGTTTAATTTTTACTTGGTTTGTTTCGTTGAATTGTTGGATTTCATCATAAACTCTGGATGCTAATCCTGTGTGGATTCTAGGCATTCGCGAATATCTTCTTCCAATGTTCTTAGCCCTTTTAGTCATCTCATTGTAAAGAAGTTTTAATTTTCATAATCTTTTAAGGTTTGTCCTTAGTATATCATATTTAAGAGATCACTTTTTACTATAAGATCAGAAATATGTTCTCCTTATCTTCTGAAAGTTGTACTGTTTTCATTGATTTTGGTGTACAGAGGGAGGTACAGACATAATCTACCTTTCTAAAATATAGTAACCGATTTCCACGATGGTTAGTGAATTTATATCCTTTTCTCTACCAATTTTGTGTGCTGTTTTCTGAAATCTTGCAGTCTAATGCTGGGCTCTCCATTCTCTTCCATCCTTCTATGTTTCTATTCCTTCTACCAACATTACACTGTCCTATGCCTGTTGTTCATACTGGAGTTGTTCCTTGCAGAAACACATCTTCAGCTGGACTTTATCGGAGGGAGTCTTTTGTAACCTTGGATGAAGATATAAAACTATAGCTCTTTTGTGTTGAATTTTATCAGGTGCTCCAGGAGTATTACCAGCCTAGGATCACTTTTTAAATAATTATTTTGCCTTATGGGCTCCTGGACCACATAGGTAATATATATTTCAACCCTATAAGTAGTTCGAGGGCACTGTTATGCTTACAAAAACTTAGAGGAGATTATTTTATGTGCAGAACTTAAGACACATAAGTTCTGTAGTGGCCTCCCTCCCTTGTGGGTACATTTTTAATTGAAACTTTCTACTCTTGCTATAGCCACTTGAGGATACCAGCTTTAAGCTCATGGTCTTAGATCTGACTTCTACTTCATTCATAGTTTCTGGAACTTACTGCTTGATGAGCTCAATTCTGCAATTAAAATATTTTTTATATAATACATATTGTCCAGATTGTCTGGTGATGGATTACTGATGGAGAAATTTCAGATTATTTAATTTGAAATACTGCTGATGTAAAAGTTAAGTGACTTATGCTTAATCTTGAGGCACCCCTCTTCATCCTCATGTCTCTATCTGCCTGATTTGATAATTTCAGCAGAATGACCCGTAAGCACCTCAAAATCAGTTGAACTTCTCCTTCATTTTCCTTCCAAAATAAAGTTCTGTTAATAACATCACTATCTCCAACCATACAGGTTCACTTCAATCTCAGTGCATTTATTGTATGTAAATTATGTGTCAAAGAAAGTGGGAAAAGATCATTGAGCATCCCTTCCTTGCCTCCAAAGCCAATAAATTCCAAACTTAGGTTTAATTAACCTCTGAAATGTCCAATTCCACTGCTTCCTTTCCAGTCCCGTTGCTCATTGAGTCTCAGTGCTTCTCATCCCAACCCTTGGAAGAGCCTCCACTTCCAGATGCTTCTCTTCAAGCAACCTCTCACTCTGGCCACGACTCATCCAGAAGTAGCATTTGGATTCCACCCTTTGCCTCCCCAAATTATCAAACGTCTCTGTGGTTTGTGAAATAGAATTCCAGCTCTTCTACCCAGAGCTTAAATCCCGCCATGATCTGATCCCAATCTACCGTCTGAAGCTAATGCTCCTCTCCATACGGGATCAGCCTCTACACACAAAATAAATGTTCTCCCTCCATGTTACACTTGGGGAGCAATACAGAGAATGAGTTCTGGAGTAAGGCAGTTTGGGTTCAAATGCTGGCTTCATCACTGACACACGATTTGGACAAGACAATGATTCCATCTGAGCCTCATTAGGACGTATTTTCAAGATGTAGCAGATATAATTTGCTGAAGGATTGAGAAAGAGGACTCCAGGTGTATAGCCTGAGCTACAGGAAGGACGCAGTCAGCACTGAGGGCTGTGGAGGGCTGGGAAGAGGAGGCAAGATTAGGAGTTCAGTTTTGAACATGGGAAGTGGGGACATCTGTTGGCACACATCCTTCAAGACCCAGCTTGAACATTGTCTCCTCTGGGTAACTGTCCTTCATTCAGCTTTTTACGATAGTGCAATCTCTGCTTTCCTCCAGCCACTACCTTCTTCCTCACAGTAGAGCTGGTTTATCTGTCTCTATTCTCCTCCCAGACAACAATCTTGCTTGTAAGAGGATTCAGGTCTGATTCATCTCTCTTCCCCTCCCCAATATTTAAGAGACGATTTTACACACAGTAAAAGATCAAATATATTTTTGAAGGAAAGTGAACATGTATATATTTTACTTCATATCGTGAATATCATTAAGTACTTCAAACCAGTGAGAAAATTCATTCTCACAAACTTTAATCCGAACAACAGACACAGCCTCCTTACACAGCAGGCTCTGAAACAGCTCTTCTGAAGGAAACTCTTCTAAAGTTGCTTGGCATTTTCCATCATCTCCTGTAAGAATCTGTGATTACAGATCCTTAGCGCTAACTATTCATTAATAGGAACCTCTGGTTGCTCTTCAATTATGTAATAGAGACAACATGTTTGCCGAGCAAATAAAAATGAGAGTGAATTGCAAAAACAAAAATAAAATACAATATGGACAGGTTGCAGCTCAAGCTTCACATACACATATCTGCAGATGTCTAAGATTTGCAGCATATGTGATGGGGTCCAGGGGAAAATGGGCAGCCCATGCCGAAACCCTTCTGTCTGTCATTTCACTATTACTGTACCACATATATATTTCTGCACAAAAATTTATTATTACTACAAAATCTGGCATTCCTTGTGGAGAAATAGGAATGCTTTTATACTGTTGGTGGGAGTGTAAATTAGTTCAACCATTCTGGAATACAGTGTGGCGATTCCTCAAGGATCTAGAACTAGAATTACCATTTGACCCAGCCATTCCATTACTGGGTATATACCCAAAGGATTATAAATCATGCTACTATAAAGACACATGCACACGTATGTTTATTGCAGCACTATTCACAATAGCAAAGACTTGGAACCAACCCAAATGTCCATCAGTGATAGACTGGATTAAGAAAATGTGGCACATATACACCATGGAATACTATGCAGCCATAAAAAAGGATGAGTTCATGTCCTTTGCAGGGACATGGATGAAGCTGGAAACCATCGTTCTAAGCAAACTATCACAAGGACAGAAAATCAAACAGTGCATGTTCTCACTCATAGGTGGGAATTGAACAATGAGAACACATGGACACAGGGCGGGGAACATCACACCCTGGGGCCTGTCGTGGGGTGGGGGGAGCGGGGAGGGATAGCATTAGGAGAAATACCTAAGGTAAATGAGTTGATGGGTGCGGCAAACCAACAAGGCACAGGTACACCTATGTATCAAACCAGCACGTTGTGCACATGCACCCTAGAACTTAAAGTATAATAATAAAAAAAAGAACCAATTAAAAAAAAAATCTGACATTCCTTTATCAGCTCCTGCGAGTCTGTGGTATTGCCTGATATCCTCAGTAAAGAGAAAGAGAGTTTTAAACAAAGGATAATGACCACTTTATTACTGAGTGTCTAAGAGCCATGGTGGGTTAGACTGGGAAGATAGGCTCATGCTTGCTGTGTCTGACCCTGGATTTAAAGAGTACACCCCTGGCTCCTACCAGACTTAGGGGTTTTGTTCATTTTTGTCTGTCTGCTTGCTTAACTGATTGCTTGATTATTTAAAGTTTTTTGGAAAATAACAGAGTCAACTATAGTCCTGCTATAAATCGCAGCCACCTTTTGAATGCCCTGAGGAGATTCTGAAAAATACATGTGTCTCTGGGCCCTACCCCAGACCTACAGAATCCGAATCCCTGGAGGAGCCAGGCACCGTGTCAAGCCAGCTCCACAGGTGACTGGAGAGCCCCCGGGTAGGGTTCTGAGCCAAGGTGTTACGTAAGGCAGGCCCATATTCAAATCCTAGCTCTGCCACTTAATAGCTGGATGACCTACAACTAAGCCTCTTAGAATCAGTTTCTTCATCTGCACAATGAGGATTACAAAGCCTACCAGGGCTGGCCTGAAGATTAGAAATTATGAACATAAAGAGCCTGGTATTGTACTCGGCAGTCATTGCCCAGTATTGGTAGCTCCACATCAAGGTTTTCGTGACAGCTTTAGTTATCCATCATCTGCAAGTCTATTTTTAAAGGAGAGCCCTACGGGGCTTCCGCCTCCCTCTGGAGCTCATGTCATATGTCCCTCTGTCTTAGCCTACACTCTAGCCTACCCGGCCTGCTTTCTTTTGCTCAAGCAGAATAAATCCATTCCCACCTGAAGCCTTCTCAGCAGCTCTCCCCGTTCTTACTGTTGACTCCTTCTCCTTATTTTAGTCAGACTCACATGGCCACCGCAGCACTCTATTGCATTACAGACAGCTGGTGTCTCTTGCAGTTCTGATGGCCTACAACTTGCATTACCCTGACTTCTATCTTGACTGTTGACTTCTCCCCACTGGAATAGAAGCTCTACTAGTACTGGGCACTTGTCTGCCTCTTTCTGTGCTCCATTCCCAATACCTAAACCTGGAGTAGAATAGAAACTTAATGAGCATTTCCTGACTAAATCTGTAAACTTGACAAATACTACTCATCCATAATCAATTCCTATAGTCATTTCTTAGACTTATCCCTCAAATTCTGATTATAAATCAAAAACTCATATTACAAATTCCAGGCATTGGGAATTCCTCCACAAATATAAAGAGAAGTCCAGCCATGTTTATATTCAAGAACTCAACCAATCACTTTTGCCAACAATGGTAATTCCAGAGTGCAGGGAAGGGCAAAAGCCACAAAAGCAAGAAGTGAAAGGAGAAAGCTCTCCTTAATTTTCTTCTTTCCTTTATAGCTTCCCTGTAACCTTTTCTTTTCCCACTGCCATCAGGCTTTTATAAACTACAGCAATGCTAATGGGTTTGCAAATGTCATAAGTGGTGCCCCCTGCCATAATGGCAGTGGTTCCTTGCTCGAGACAAGAACACAGCATGACCATGAGGATGCTGTAGGGGGCCCATCAGGACCTCACTGGAACCTTCTAGAGGCCTGCATCAGGAACCCATGCCTTCCAAGCCCACCGCAGCTGTTTGTTAAGCAGTAGCTCGTGGTCATATAGTCAGGATGCTTGGAGAGAACTGAAACCCCTTTGGAAACAGTAGCAGCTCCATACGGCTCTGTAAGAAACTCAGAGACCTGCTCTAGGCTCTCCTGCTAGAGTTCAGGGTCCTCTTGAGATTCAACCTGTGCTCTGGCCAGCAGAGCTAGGGATGAGAGAAAAGGAATTTGCCTTCAAAAAGCGATCTCTCTCTCACTTTCCTTAGTTGTATTTGTGTATTTCTAGTAAATTAGAAAAGCAGTAAAGCCCTTCAGCTTTAGAACCCAATCTGAATGATCACATTCCTAGGGGAGCATTTGGCATCCTGGAAGCATAGGAACCCCTGGCCTTGATTTTGGGCTGCTGTTCAGTCAGAGCAAGGCTTCTTTAGCAATGGAAACCTCCAATTCTGCATTGTGTGTGAGCTGCTTTATACCGATTTTTTTTCACATTTCTTATTGACTTTTTGTCAATTTAATTCTTTACCTACTATTTTTCTCTTATGATACGTCAACGTTTTCTGAATGACTCCTTTTTCTACATTGATTTACTTTTCTGGAAAGACTTCCTGTCTTTTCAACATGCTGCTTACCTATTTTTTTCTTTTATATTTTTTCTTTTATACTTTTCCCTGGTTTACTATAAAACTTTCTTTTCTTTTTATTGGCTTTGTTGGTGTCTGGTTTTAAAGCTTTTCTGGGGCTTTTAAAAGAATAAACTTGAATAGAATTTGGTATTTAATTGTATTCTCATAGCAGGTGGGCGTGTGACAAATGTGGATTTAGGGCCTTTCAGTGGAGGTGGTGGGGAGGAATACCCAAAGTTGGGCCACCCACATTATGTGTTTCATGCAAATAAGTCCTATATGTAGCTTTGTTTCAAACTATCGAGCAAAGCAGCAGGGATTATAAATTGCCCCACAGAAGGTGTCACTTTTCAGGTAGGCATTGATAGATCATTGGCTGGGGAAGAGCTGCCAGATTAAAGAGCAGGGACATGCAGATCACTGGCCTTCATGTGCATAAATGGCCCTAAGGTGTACAGCTGACCTGATGCATATAGCTGACCCCATGCATATAGTTGACCCGATGCATATAGCTGACCCTGATGCATATAGCTGACCCTAATGCATATAGCTGACCTGATGCATATAGCTGACCTGATGCATATAGCCGACCCTGATGCATATAGCTGACGCTGATGCATATAGCTGAGCCTATGCATATAGTTGACCCTGACACGTATAGCTGACCTGATGCATATATAGCTGACCCTGGTACATATAACTGATCCTGATGCATATAGCTCATCCTGATGCATTTAGCCGACCTGATACATATAGCTGATCCCAATGCATATAGCTGACCTGATGCATATAGCTGACCTTAATGCATATACTAACCCTGATGCATATACCTGAACCTGATGCATATAGCTGACTTTGACGCACACAGCCAACCCTGATGCATATATCTGACCTTGATGCATGGAGCTGACCCTGATGCATGGAGCTGACCCTGATGCATGTACCTGACCCTGATGCATACAGCTGACTTTGATGCACAGAGCTGACTGTAACGCATATAACTGTTTTCAATGCACATAACTGGTGCATATAGCTGACCCTGATGCAGATAGCAGACCTTGAGGCATATAGCTGACCATAATGCATATAGCTGGTCCTAATACATATGACTGACCCTAATGTATTCAGCTGATACTAATGCATACAATGGGTCCTAATGCATACAGCTGATCCAAACATATACCCAATTCTAAAAGCAGACAAAGAAGCCAATCACTGCTAAATAAACCACAACACGGAGGAAAGAATCACAGGAAAAAAACCCCAATTCTTACCATCGAAGTGCCACTGTAGAAGATTCTGTACTGCCTTGGTATGCAAACAAATGAATAGTTTTTGAAATTTTTCAAATGGAGGATAAATGAGGCAAGTGGTCACCATCTGGAACTTACCAAGGCTTTTTAAAAACGCTTGCCAAACAGAATCATTGTGAGCAACAGAGCCAGATCCGGCCCCTGGACCAGCCAGCCATCCTCCAGTGCCGCATTTAATATGTTGTGGGAAAAACGCTTCCTTCCCAGCAGAGGCAGCTGCCATCAGCCTAAGTGAGTCAACAATGGTGGAAACTGCCAAGTGGGCAACATCGAAGGCCATGTTTCCTCCCAGCCAACAGTGCTCCACTGAGCCTGGACAAAACCAAGGAGACAAGCCCAAGGGGCCCACTTATTTCCAAAAACATTGCAGCCCCATTCTCAGGAGAACAACCCACCCCTCCTAGCCTAATGGTGAACCCTTCCTGACTCCCCACACTCCCCCTCACAATGCTGTCAGCTCAAGGGGACACGCTGTGATTCCCGTCTCGGTCTGGAACCACATTACAGAGTTGATTTTCTCTTAGGAGACACAACCCCAGCATGTCAAATCTTCATGGCTCATTGTATCAAGTCCTGTTTCCAAAAGTGAAATACCCTAGACTTGCACTTTCCAGAGTTAACAAAAACGGATACATTTGGGCTACAAGGACAACTCATGGAATGTTTCTTAAAAGACATATAATTATGGCAGAACGAAACTATATGGTTACAGAAATTAAGCTTGGCCCTTGAAATTCTAGATAAATTAGGTTTCTGAGAGAATTTCTTACAGGATAAAATAAAGGATTTTCAAATGCAGGATGAAGTGAAACATTATTTCTAGGGAAAAGATTTTTAGTTTTGATATCTTATGTTGGTGTTGTTAGAATCATTTAACTGGTAATGGCCTGTGTCCAAATAAAGCAAATTATGCATTTAATTCAATTTAACGCAGCTAACCATTCTTGAGCACCTACTTGGTTTCGGGTTCTGAGGTAGGCAGTTTAAATCTATTATTGAATCTTTACCACAGACAAATGCAGTAGGCACTGGCCTGATTTTGCACAGAAAAAGACAGAGTCTCAGAGAGGCCTATAATTTGCCCAAAGTCACACAGCCACTCTGCAGACCAGCTGGAGTTGCCCTTGGATCTGCCAGAGCCTGTACTTGTCATGCTTTTCAGCACTGTGGCTCTCGGGCCTTATCCTTCACCCCAAGAGCTCACGGTGGCTATAAAGAAAGGGCAACCCAAAACTATTTAAAGTAAACAAACGAAGTGATTATAAGTTTAATGGTCAAAATCTATATAAAGAACTATAAAAGCACAAATGAGGGCTCAATTCATATACTTTTAAACTGCAATCTAGTCATCACAATTGGAAACACCCCGTCATGTTCCCAGGAAGGGTGTTGCTTTGCTCTCCATTGTTGTGATTGGTTGTCTTAGTCCCTTCAGGCTGGTATAACAAGACAGCACACTCTGGGTAGTTTATAACTACAGAAATTTATTTCTCACCATTCTGGAGGCTGAGAAGTCCAAGTCCAAGGCACCTGCAGTTTGCCTGCTGTTCACGCATAGACAGCTATCTTCTCACTCTAGCAGGAGGGGTGAGGGTCTCTCCTGGGCCTCTTTTCTTTTCTTTTTTTTTTTTTTTGAGATGGAGTCTTGCTCTGTAGCCCAGGCTGGAGTGCAGTGGCATGATATCGGCTCACTGCAATCTCTGCCTGCTGGGTCCCTGCTCAAGCAATTCTCCTGCCTCAGTCTCCCGAGTAGCTGGGATTACAGGCACGTGCCGCCATGCCCAGCTAATTTTTGTATTTTTTTTAGTAGAGACAGGGTTCACCATGTTGGCCAGGATGGTCTTGAACTCCCGACCTCGTGATCCGCCCGCCTCGGCCTCCCAAAGCACCGGGATTACAGGTGTGAGCCACCGTGTCCTGGGCCTCTTTTCTAAGGTGGCTTCACTTCATCCTCACAACCTAAGCGGCTCCCAAAGGCCCCACCTCCTAATACCATCCCCTTGAGGGAAGGATTTCAACATAGGAATTTTGAGGGGACATAAACCGCATTGGTATTTGGTTTTTACTTCGCTGTGTGCTTTGGAAAGGGAAAGGAACATCTCGCCCCATGGGTTGGCTGAGGCCACCTGCAAGGCGTTTTCAGGCAGCCTCAACTCCCTGAGATCCACGCCTCCACGGGGCCATTTGAGGGCTTTAACGCCACATAAATGTACATAATTCACCAGTGGGAGAGAGGCACCGTCATGAAGCATTCATGGACCCTTCACTATAAATGCCATCACATTGGCCAGCTGCACAAGACTCAGAGATGCTGCAGTTCCGTTGGAAAAAAAATAAAACAAAGGCCCAAAGTTTGTTTTGAAATGATGTTGAGCCTCTTACCAAGAAACCATTAATAACATTATTTCTTACTTTTTAAATACCTTACAGGTACAGCTCCCAAAGCAGTCAATTGTCTGGCAATAAAGCGTGATGGGGCGTGTAACAATTATGTAACAGCTGCAGAAACCTCATGGATATAATTGAGTACCTTCTACCACCCTAGGATATAATAAAAGTAAGATTTAAGTACATATCAATAAAGCCGACAGAGCAACACCAGAGCAGGCCTTCTTCAGCGTAACGCCACTGATCAGCCTCTAAAGGAAACGAGGAGATATAGAAAAGAGTGGAGAGGAGGAGTAATGGGAGGAGGAAGAAGTAGAGAAGGAAGAGGAAGAGGAAGAAACAGAGAGGAAAGGGGAAAAGAGGAGGGGAAGGAGAAAAAGATAAAGAAGACTCGTTTGCTCTCCTGCAGGCATGATGCAACAGCAAACACCAGCCAGCCTCCTCTGGACTGAATTCAGGCCGGGAATGTGGGGGTTTCCTGGGCCTGCAGCCCGCCGGGCACGTTCGACCCACATTCTGCTGTGTGTGTGCGCCGTGCGACACGTCACCCTCCCATCTTTGCACATGCCCTTGAATATTTCTGTGCTTCTGATTCATCTGGTCCACAGTTTACACCTTGAGGTAACTAATTCTGTCTCTTCGTTTTGCTTCACAAATGAAGGCTCATTTCTCCTTCACTCCATTTCCATTTGAGACCTACTTTAGTATGTTTTTCTTTCATTTTCTCTGCAATAATCAGGCTCCCTTTGCTCAAGCATAGTTCTTTTACCAAGTAACCTTTCTCTGCTCTCAGATTTGTCGTGATCGAGGCTTGAAGCCAAAATGTTGCAAGGTGATATTTTAGCTTTCACTGATACACTGAGAACCAGCGCGGTACAGAAACTGCTTCAGTAAGTGAACACAAGACAGGCTCAATCTGGCCTACTCTTGTTGATGCTAAGCTTAGAAGAAAGAGAGAGGCAGAAACTGAGACAGAAGGACAGAGAGAGAAATGCTCTGTTACTCTGAATGTTTCTACTGATTCTTTATGATCCACCAAACTTTTCTCAAACACCCTTTAAGATGATGTAGATAAATTACAAGATGCCGAGGAGGACCGACGCTCTTTCAGAAGGCGCCTCTCCAAGCCTTTCTCCACTTCAACTAAAGAACGTGTTTCAATGAGTCTGCGATCTCGGTGGCCTCTTATTACTGTCATCTCATTCATATCCAAATCAGGAAACCAGAGAAAGTTCTGAAATGAGGGGCCGGCGTTCTTATTAACGCCAGCCATGGCAGGCACTGGAAGGAGCTTAAAAAGAGGTGGAAATCACCGGTTTCCGAAGAAGTCAGCTCAGATGAATTTTGTTACTTCTCTTTAAGTGAGATTACGTGCGGACTAGGGGCTTTTTCCACTTGAGCCAGGTGCCAACGGGATATGAGGGTGCAGGGCAGAATAAGAGCCCAGCGTTGGCTTTAAAAATGAAGCGGGAGACTGAGGAAAGGACGCTAGGGCCTATCGAGGAGAAAAACACTTGTTCCTTAAGTAGATCGTCCATAGGAAAAGAGGCAGTTTCCTCTGCTGGGTGATTTTGAAGTGAGAAAACATCTAAAACTTCCAAAATGTTGTTTGGAATTGATTTGTGCATAGGTGCAATACTACTAAGCCCACTTTTGGGCCATAGCCCTACACTAGAGAGATACACTGAAAAAAAATTTAAATAAAAAATCCTGGAGTGCAATATCCTGTTGACCCAACCTGAAATAGCAAAGCTCTTCAGCCAATCCCGTGAGAGGTGCTGGGGTGTGTGCACAGTCAGGGAAGCTCCCTTGCTACCATTTCCATTCAGTCACTTAGAAGCTGGGCAGGGGTCAGTTGGGGGGGAATGGCTGTGTTCATTAGAAATTTCAAATAGCTGCATACAACAGAAACCCTCATACAGCAGCTGAAACACATGGGGGTGTACGCAGCACACACTTGACATCTGCAGGTGAGCTGCTGAGTGCTGCATGGTGGCCCCGCCTACTCGCTCTGTTCTCCTCAAAGGGTTGCTCCAACTAGAGCTGCATTCTGACTTTTGCTAGCCCTGGGCACTTTTGCCTTCATGAATCCTCAGGTAAATATTAAAAATGATATTTTACGGCTATATTGGTATAGACAGGCATATTAATATTATGGTAAAACATTTTCTTTATTCATTTTTTTCCTTCTGATTTTAAAAAGAATGAAAACTTTTTCAGAGCCCCTAAAAGTCTTTTGTGGATTCCAGGCACTGTGCTTCCTGTGCCCAGTGGCTAAAAAATCAGTGAAGAGGACACGGAGAACCCAAGGGGAACACCTCCCCGTAGGTCAGATCTCAGAACGCACCTTCCTGGAAGACCCAAATTCACTGGCGAGAGCTTCATCAGATGACCACCGAGAGTGGCAAAAGAGTCTGGGCAGCTGATTTGGTTTGGCTGTGTCCCCACCCAAATCTCGTCTTGAATTGTAGCTCCCATAATTCCCACGGGTTGTGGGAGGGTCCCAGTGGGAGATAATTGAATCATGGGGGCATTTTCCCCCATACTGTTCTCATGGTAGTGAATAAGTCTCACAAGATCTGATGGTTTTATAAGGGGAAACCCTTTCACTTCGTTCTCATTCTCTCTTGCCTGCCGCCATGTAAGACATGCCTTTCATCTTCTGCCATGATTGTGAGGCCTCCCCAGCCACGTGGAACTGTGAGTCCATTAAACCTCTTTTTCTTTATAAACTACCCAGTCTCAGGTATGTCTTTATCAGCAGCGTGAAAACTGACTAATACAGCAGTGGAGTCTTTATTCTAAGTGCACTGTGAGTATCTGATGGGCACTAGGGAACTGGCAGAACCTGGCAAAACTGCCAATCAAAGCTGATGAATACCCCTCTTTAATGACTAGAAATGGCTTATTCCAAAGCTGGGCATGGTAGCATGCGCCTGTAGTCCCAGCTACTCGGGAGGCTGAGGCAGGAGAATCATTTGAACCTAGGAGGCGGAGGTTGTGGTGAGCCAAGATCACACCACTGCACTCCAGCATGGGCGACAGAGCGAGACTCCGTCTCAAAAAAAAAAAAAAAAAAAAAAAAAGTGGCTGATTCCAAATAGTGAGTGAGTGATTAATAAAAGCTGAATCTGCTAGACGTAGTATTCGAGGTTTCTGGCAAAGCAGCCCCTACAGAAATAAAGATCCCCCCTGCTTATTTGCTTATGCCCCTAATTCCTGAGCAGGAATTTGATTTTAGCCTAAGACACGGTTGTACATTATTTATCCTCGTTATCCATGTTCACCTGCCAAACCTCGATGCTGATGCTTGTAGTCCTTTCCCCACCTGATTTCAAGGCTCAATTCAATTATCTTCTTCTCTAAAAGCTGATCCTAATAGCTCTCTGCAGTTCCCATCCCACCTCTGCATGACAAGTGAAGTCTCTCATTTCTCTCCACCAAGCACTTTGTAAATAATCTCTAATAAAATATTTATCTAACATATAAGCATTAATAAAGAGTTGTTGAATAAATAAATAAATGGTGCATTTAACGAGTTATTCATGTGTTTGTTTCCTACCATCAGCCATGAACCCTTTGAAGACAGTCTTATTCTCAGGTATATCTGTGTATCTACAACATCTAACAGTGTTTGACACAGTGTAGGTACTAATGTTCACTGAATGAAAAAACAAAATTCCAACAGCTTAATAAGAAATAATCCACCCTGCTGAAATTTGTGACGGGCCAAAATGCCATTGTTCTTTTTCAGCTTTCAAATTCTTGCCAAAGAAAGAATGTGAGGTGGAAGTGATCCTCCCTCTGAGAGCAGGAAGTGATCCCACCTCTGAGAACAGGAAGTGATCCCACCTCTGAGAGCAGGCCCACCTATGGAAGCTGGCACAAAAATCCACGCTCACTGCCTGGTCATGTAACTGACTTGGCCAAGTTTGTACTGCTTCCAGCAATTCAGGGATCTTTGGAGTAGAGGTGAAATACAAAAAATAACGAGGTAGGGATTTTAAAGCGCGCAAAGGGAAGACTATCACCTTCTTTAAAATATATATTTGTACATTTTCTCTGGTCATCCTTTAGATGGGACCCCTCTATCACTATACAGAGGACAGCAACAAGGATATCTTAGTGCAAACTCCATACTTGGCAAAATGAATTTAGAGCAAAGATAAGTTAAGCACCTAGCACAGTGCCCTACACAAAAAAAGGTGCTTGACGGAATCAATGAATAAATGGTAATTAACAATCCATAAAGTAATCTGTTACTTTTTCAAAAGCACTGACAAGTAGATTTCTTTCCTCAGGCCGCTTTAGGATAAATTTAAGCGATTTAATTTATAAACAATCCAATTTACGCTTACTTTTCAATAGAAGAATTAATTCTTAAAGCCAGTTATGGCTGTAGGTGTATCAGTTTAAATTCAACGAACTCCAAACCCTAAATACCCGTCAATGCCATGATGGCAAAACGGAAGGATGATGGTTTTGACCAGTTCCCAACCCGACGGGTGGGTGGGGATGCGCGAGAGGCCGCTGTGCACTGGAACAAGGTTCAGCAACAGGTAACAGGTCACGGGGAACGTGTGCTTTGAAACCAAGAGGCAGAAAACCGAAATAGAAAACAGATGGACTGTCAGAGGATTCCATTTACCCACAGAGTTCAAAGGAAGTGATATGTTCATCAGGTTCCAAGGCAAGACCTCATTAAGCTACAAACCCTAGAGAAATAGGCACATAGAAACACTTCATTCTTAGGAAGCTAGAGCAGGTCAAACTTCTGTTTACAATCTATAACAAAATCTTGCTTTTTCGGATGAATATTTACCTGATTAGCAAGCAGAGGCCGTCCTTGTTCTTTGGACTTCAAACACGTTTCCTCCTTGGAAACTCCGGCATGTGTGGAATACACCAAATTCCTCAGCCAGTGCCCACGGGGCAGGGCCTGTCTTGACAGTCACCACCCAGGTGGACTTTATTTTTCAAGCTTTTACTTCAGGGGGATGCTGGGAAAATTTGTTTAAAATCGTCAGTTCCACAATTGCAATCGCTTGCAATTTAAACACGTCTCCCTTAAATAAACAGTCTTGACTCAAAATTCTCCCCTTCTCTTTTTCTTGTCATTTGCTCCAATCTCTCATCTTGTGTCCAACGAGACGCGTACTATCCTGGCATCAGAGCAGGGGCTTCTGACCCCTGTGCCCTCCGGCCTCCGCTGCCCCTCCTCCCCTCCCTGCCACGTGCCCTCCGGAACCGTAGATGTTGAACTGTGGCACCTGCGGAGGTTTCATCTGACCTGCCCGGCTGCCGGGTCTTTTTCTCTGGGACCTCATCAAATCTCTCACTTCTGGTCCTAACCCCAGGCAACTCCCAATCCGCTGGGCTTCTCAGTATATTTTTAGTCCCCCTGTAGAGAGGAGGATGTTCCAGAACTTCTGGATGTATTTCTTGGACCATGCTGGGAATGGTAAAATTCACGTGGCTACCACCAACCCCAGAGAGAAAGCTCCTCAAATTTCCTGTCCAGACTAGAAGCTCCATGGTGCCAGGGCCATGCTGAACATAGTTTCCCTAAAAGCCCATTAGCCTTCCCAGGCTTTACCCCGGAGAGTGAGGTGCAACCTTCCTGCTGCTGGATCCCCTCGAAGTATCTGTTCCATCTTCTTCTTCTTCCCTAGCATTCAGTGGATAAGGAGTAAAAGGTGTGAAGATTTCTGGGGCATGCAGAGCACGCACATTTCCGTCTTCCCCCAGCATTCTCAAATCAGCCGAATTCTACCTTCACATTTCTTTTTTGCGTGGCGGGGAAATTATGATGTCGTCTAGATTTTCTTTTTCCTTTAATGTGTTTGGTACAAATCTCGTGCATAGTGTTCTAAGCTTAGTTCTTCATAGTCAAGCCCCATCTTCTTTAGTCCCTAAGAATGTATTTTATTATTTCCCCCTTAAAGTCCGGTTCTTGTCAATCAAAATCAGTTTGGCTTTCAGGCTATAGTTTCTGTTACCTGTTTAAGGAATCCATCCAGATATTAAAGTTTCCCATTTCTTCCAGGCTCTATTTCCATCCCACTGAGACCAGAGTTTCTCATTGTCACTAGAAACAAGAGGAAAGATGAGGGGTGAAAAGGGTGAAAAAAAAACGGAGTAAGTTAATATCGAATTGATGTCACAAATATGGAAACTCAGGAGCCAATCAGCCCTCATCCAACACACATGCTTTTATTCAGACTATTGCTCCACGGGCTAAATAATACATATATTGCCCCTAAGGCAGAGATGTATGATAAATATAATAAACAATTATGGGGATTGTTGGTTAATTTATACATTTTCTACATTATAAACTATCTTGCCAAATACACAACTCCACCCAATAGATTTAATAGGTTTTAAGAAATATCTTGAAGGCAATAATAGATCTTAAGTAATACCTTGAAGGCAAAGATCATGCCCCAGACTTGTGAATATGTCACAGCTCTATTGCAGGTGAGGTGCCCAGCAGATGTGCCATAGACCCTGCTCTGCTCACAGCTAAGGAAGTATAAGTCTATTCGTTGTTCTCTACTTAACAGAGAATCATTCAAAGGAAATTGGTGGTAATTTGTTAAGAGGAGATGATGTTAGGAGAGGGAAGATGTTCCTATTATTCAATATTTAATGGGTATTTTGTGTCAAGAAACTCTGTGGGCAACTGAAGCAATATGCCAAGAAATATCTATGAGAATGAGTTAAGATCACCGTATTAGGTAAGGTGACCATGTAGTTTATTATTTGAAGTGGGAAATATTTTTTAAGGGAGCACTGTTAATTATTTATCTCACACACACTGAAATGTATTGTTACCCTAATATCAGAAGACCTTAAGACATAGTAGAGTCACAGAACATTCAAGATGCAAAATACTTAGAAAATTATGTAGTTCTTTATTGAGAGGGAAAAGATCCATTCCCCAGAACAAGAGATGTTATTTCCGAGAAACTGGTTTTTGTTAACACAGAGAGATACCGGGAAAAAAAATATATTTGGCAGCCAAACAAATTTGGTGCATGTTCTTGGAGATCCACAATGCATGTTAACACACTACAGGGAAATCTTCAATAAGCAAACTTTGCTTAAAATAGCATTCCCCAAAATATCTGTACACTGATCTACTCCACCATTTTTGTTTGTTTGTTTTGGTAACACACTTACTGCCATCTTGCAGATAGAAACAGGTACCTAGTCAGTTTTCTCTAGTTTTATGGGGTTAGAAAAGGCCCAAGTAAATTCAGTAATTTTTCCAGGGTCTTTTGTTGTTGAGACAGAGTCTCACTCTGTCACCCAGGCTGAAGTGCAGTGGCGCGATCTCGGTTCACTACAACCTCCACCTCCTGGGTTCAAGCAATTCTCCTGTCTCAGGCTCCTGAATAGCTGGGACTACCGCATGCCACCATGCCAAATTAATTTTCTGTATTTTTAGTAGAGACAGGGTTCACCGTGTTAGCCAGGATGGTCTCGATCTCCTGACCTCGTGATCCACCTGCCTTGGCCTCCCAAAGTGCTGGGATTACAGGCGTGAGCCACCATACCCGGCCCAGGGCCTTTTATAGTTGCTGGGTAGCAGGGCTAAAATAGAAATGGAGTAATAATAGAAGTAGTAACGGTAGCATCACAGTAGCAATAGTGGCAGCAGTAGTAGTAGTAACATTAGCAGTGATCATGGTTACTATTTATTGAGCTCCTTCCATTCTGCACATTGCAAGGGATCAAAAATCCCTATATGTTTACCAGTCTCCCCAACCAGCAGCTAAACTCAAGGAGGGCAGCTTTCACTAATGTATCCTCAATATTTCAGCAGAGCTCCTGATGTAATGTAGGCCCTTCATAAATATTTATTGATTACTGAATGAATAAATGCATATGCACAGTAAATTCTAAGACTAAAAAAGAACTGCCCAAATGGGCCAGAGTGTTCCTTTATTTTTATGAATCAACAAATCTCTGTCTCCTTTTTCTCCCCTGCTTTCAAAGGTACAAACGTACAGTGCAGTGTATGTTCAGAACAGCTCTGTGAAATTTCTCCAGTTCCAGGAAACAAAATTTTGAATGACAGTTTCTCATGTAAATGAGAAAAGACACATTACAACCATTTTGGAGATTACCTTGAATTATGAACAACACACAGAAGGAAAATTCGAACAGGGCTTTGCTATTCACCAGGGTCACACACTGAAAAGATCCCCACCGCAGAATTATTCCGTTAACAATCATCAGAATAAAAGGTAACAGCAGGTGTTGGCAGGCAAGAAGAAACCGGCCTACAAAATGAGGGGTATTACCTGTAATAATGAAATTTAAACATTTTAATGAGCCTACTGGGATCCACTTGGTAATTACTGTTTAATAAAAGGAAAAATAAACAAAAGGGAAAATGATATATGTTCTCGAATCAGAAAATAAATACTTTAATAAATTACTCATCTTTGATTTTAGTGTATTCTGTGACTAGGGTGCTTTTCTGATGTCTATTTCAAGGAGGTTAGTTTTTTATGTTTAGTCTAAAGGAAAAATTAAGAGGTGACCTCATGACGTAGTGAATGTCTTCAAATATTTAAAGAACTCTCATAAGCAAGGGAGCAAGTGCCTTTGCTCCCTTCTGCCTCCAGAGAAAAGATCTAAGATCAGCAGTGGAAGTAACAGAGAGGCACATTACATATATGAATGTAGACAAGAATTTTCTCATCATCAGAGCTGGCCAATAGTGGGTCAGTTTGCCTTGAATATTACAGAGTTGGGTTTCCTGTCACTGGAATTGATGGGCAGAGCTGGGGCCACCATCTGTCAGGGGTGCTATTGAGGGCAAATTTTATTTAGACAAGTTGACATTGAACTTGTTCTTTAACTTCTGGGATCCTCCAACTCTCTGTGGGACATGAAAGATTTTTATTTTCCTGCAATTTCAGCCCCAATGCAGGACATTTGGTGAGTGTCACCAAGTGGTAGCTAGTTTCATGGGGTTATTGGCACCGACATTCTTAACTAAGCACACAGGTTAACACCAACTTCTTCCCATCTGTTCAAGGCAAGTAGGAAGGCAAGAAAGACACATGCCATAGAGAGTCTCCTCTGTCACCTCATTCTCGGTCTGGTCCTGCCAGGGAATCTCACCGAACGTAGAAGACAGAGGCTTAAACTGCCATCATAAGAAACCTCCAGTGAGTCCTCAAGAACAAGCAAGGACTTTGGGCAAGTTCTAATCCAAGGCTGCACTGAATCCCTTGTCATCATGCACTTCCATCTAAACGTAGATAACCCACAAAAGTCAACAAGAAAGAGACAACCGAACAGAAAAGCAGGCTAAACCCTTTGCAAAAGAGGACATCGAAACGGCCCATAAGTATACAAAATTCCTTAGTCACTTAGTAATCAAAGAAATGCAGATTAAAACTACAAGATAAGGCCAGGCGCAGCGCCTCACGCCTGTAATCCCAGCACTTTGGGAGGCAGAGGCAGGTGGATCACCTGAGCTCAGGAATTCAAGACCAGCCTGGGCAAAATAGTGAAACCCCATCTCTACAAAAAATACAAAAATTAGACAGCGTGGTGGTGCACCTGTAGTCCCAGCTACTTGAAGGGCTGATGCGGTAGGATTGCTTGAGCCCAGGAAGTTGAGGCTGCAGTGAGCTGTGATTGCGCCACTGAACTCTATGGATGATAAAGCAAGACCCTGTCTCATACCAAAAGAAAGCAAACAAACAACAACAAAAAAAGATACTACTATATGACCACCAGAGAAGCTAAAATTAAAAAGACTGACTATACCAAGAGTTGACACAGAAGTGGAACAATTGTAATTCTCATAAATTGCTGGTGTGAGTGTATATTTGTACAACAACTTTGGAAAACTGGCAGTATCTAGTAAGTCTGAACATATGCATCTCTTGTCACCCAGAAATGACACTCCTCTGTATCTAGACAAATGTGTACTTTTGTGCATCCAAAGACCTGTACAAGGTTGTTCACAGCAGCACCATTTATGATAGCCAAAAATGAGAATACAACTCAAATATATACAAGAGAAAAACAGATTTTGGTATATCCATAAAATGAAACACTTCACAGCAAAAACAGCCTACAGCTACATGCAATAGCGTGAATGAGTCTCACAACATGAAGAGAAAGAACATGAACAAAAATAGTACACCCCACATGATTCCATTTATATGAAGTTCACTGACAGACAAAATTAATCTTTGGCTTTAGAAGTCAGAATAGTAATTACCTTTAGGGTGATGACAATGATCGAGAGAGGAACAAGGGGAACTTCAGTAGCACTGGCAGCATTTTCTTCCTGGGATTGGGCTTGGTGAACAAGATGTATTCACTTTGTGCATTCACTGAGCTGTGTAGTTGTGATCTGTGCACTTTTCTGTACATCATGCATCAATAAAAGTTTGCTAAAATAGAGTATTAGACTGAAAAATTCTTATAACCTGTAATTTCTCCAGCTGATTTTTACTTTGCTTAATATTAAATAATTCTAAAATTCAGATTGACTGCATGTGAGTTCTGGGAAAGGAGAGGAAACCACATAATGATCTGGAAGAAACCAGTGTATTCCAGAACCAAAGTAGAGGCTGGTGTTAGGAATCACATGGCATCCCAACAGAAGCTGTGAGGATGATGATGGACACCTTGGTCCAGAGAAGACTAATGCTTGACTGATAGATGGAGGGAAACAAATAATATGGCTTCATTCATTCCATGTAAAATTATTGCCACCCAAACATTCAACCCATGAATGCCCACACACATACTAAATGCACAAGGTCACAGAGATGAAAGCCTGTTTATTCATTTGCAAGTTATAACCATATAGAATATCTTATTTCTTGAAGTTGCTCTCTTTTGTGCAAAGACATCACATATTCATTGCCATTTTAAATGTATTGTGACAGGTTCATCGCCCACCAGACTTATTGCCATATAGAACAGGACAGAAACAAAGTTCCTATCCATACTCAATTACAGTGTTTTCTGATTTAAACTGAGTTCATAAGAGTTTACAGATAAAGTTTCTCCACTCTTCATTGTACCATAATTGATTTCCATTACACCTTGTTGCACACCTGTGGCATGTGTTTGATTGAGGCAGGAGTCTGTAAAAGATGCTGCCAAACCGGCTTGTCCATTCTAGGGCCAAAATATTGAAATAACTTTTTCTTTGAGTTCTAATTCAGTAACAAAATTTAGAAAGGCTTATTTGTAAAAAAGACAGCAAAATAACTGGGAAACATTGCCCTGACAGAGGAAATGATAACTACGTACATTATTCTGAACAGTGAAGTCCCATTTTATATGTATGCATGTGTAGCTATCTATATGCGTATATGTCTATCTCTCTACCTATCTAGCTTTCACAGTTCGTGCATAAATGTCAAATGCCCATTCACCAGAGGCTTGATGCAACTTGCAGCGTGGGTGTCTTCTGAGTGATTTCTGACCCAGGCTGGACTGGGCGTTCCATTTCTTCCTGCCTAGCTCTGCCTCACACCGCTAAGTCCCACTCCATATTCATCTGCCTGGATGGTTTCTTCTCTGTATTCAGAGAATTGTCAGCCTTCCTGGGCATAGCTGCCCAAAGGTCACATCTTACCCACGCATTTCAGGAGATTTGTTTCCTGGAATATTTGCCTCCGAAGACTACGGTGCTTTCTCCTCAATTTGGAGCATTTATCTTACCTCCACCCACCAGTGCTGAAACTTCTGGTGCTTTATAAAGCAGCAGAGGACTTCTTAATTGAATCTAAAGAATTCCATGTTGTGTAGAAATTATAACTTCTATAATATTTCCTGTTTCAGTTACCTTTACCTCCCTTTTCATTTTCCCCTAGAATACAGCTACCTAGCATTTTGCTGTTTAACTATTCCCTGGTGACTTTCATTGAGACCAGGTCTCAAGACACATGCTATTTCAGTGACAAAGGACATTCTTAAGGGAAGGATTCAAACAACATCCTATCTGTTCTCCAGCTTTATTCACCTTCACCACTTTGGGCATCTCTTCCCATTTCTTCTGAATTTGAGTTCCTTGAGAAGTCTTTCACATCTGACTCATCTTAAATTATCCATACTGTAAATTTTACATATGTTTTCTACAAATATTTCTTTAATACATTTTTAAGTGATTACATAAATACTTTAAATATCTTGGGTTTTGCCATTTTAAAAGTCTATTTTAAAAAACACTAGATTAGTCGCTTTGCACTGTCTCTTCTCTGCTATAACCCTCTCACCTTTGTTAGTTCTGTGTATAAATTAAACACATCTTTAAAACTGACCACTTTCCAACAGTCTATCCAAATTATGGTACCATTTTGAGTCACTGAATTTAACGAAAGGGGAGTAATGGTGGATGGCGTGGTCAGACTACCCTCCCACAAAAAGAATTAGAAAAGATAGAAACAATTTTTTTTTTTTGAGACGGAGTCTCACTCTGTCACCCAGGCTGGAGTACAGTGGCGTGATCTCAGCTCACTGCAAGCTCCGCCTCCCAGGTTCACACCATTCTCCTGCCTCAGCCTCCCGAGTGGCTGGGACTACAGGTGCCCACCACCACGCCCGGCTAATTTTTTGTATTTTTAGTAGAGACAGGGTTTCACCGTGTTAGCCAGGATGGTCTCAATCTCCTGACCTCGTGATCCGCCCACCTTGGCCTCCCAAAGTGCTGGGATTACAGGCGTGAGCCACTGCGCCCGGCCGACACATTTTTTTTTTTTTTTAAACTAAGGCACTGAAAATGACCACATGGCAGGTAAAAACTGGATTGGAGGCCAGCCTCGAACGATGGAAACGTCAACAGGTGAGATTCCAGAGCTTGCTGCTTTTTGCCTGAGGGTACTCCCAACCCCTGCATTTTGAGCAGCAGAAGCCACAGCCTTACTCACTAAAAAGGGCAGAGAACACAGCAGATGGATTGGGGAGTAGCTGCAAGTATGGGAGGGAATCCTGGAAGGGAGAGGGATGCAGAGGGGGTAACCTTGACTCCTAAATTCTGTATTCACACTTTGTGCATTCATTGATCACAGATCCCAGTGATCCCCATGAGAAAACAGCAGCTGGAGGCATAAATAATAGAGACTTCAGCTTGTGCCCACTGCAGGGGAGATGGAATTTGGAGCTTGAGCCCAGATTGTGAGAACAAAATTCAATACTCTTCAGAGGGACAGGACAGTGCCCATACTCTCTGTATTATTATGTCCCAAATACAATTAAAAATCACTAGACATAGAACAGGAAAATTGACCAGAACTCAAGAGAAAGGGCAGTCAAAAAAATGACTCCAGATTATAACCTAGATGTTGCAATTAGCAGACAAGATTTTAAAGCAGCTATCAAATAAATATACATTCAGGAACTCAAAGGAAAATATTATCATCATGAAAACAGATGCAATCTCAGAAGAGAAATAAAAATTGTTAAATAAAGCAAATTCTAGAGCTGAAAACTATAAAATTAAAATCATATGGGCCTGGTTTAATAGTAGATTAGAAATGGTAGAAGATTCATTACACCTGAAGATAGATAGAAATTATTCAACCTAGGGCAGGTGCAGTGGCTCAAGCCTGTAATCCCAGCGTTTCGGGAGGCCAAAGAAGGACGATCACTTGAGCCCAGGAGTTCAAGACCAGCTTGGGCAACAAAGAAAGACCCCATCTCTACAAACAATTAAAGAAGATTTAGCCCATCATGGTGCCTGTAGTCCCACCTTTTCAGGAGACTGAAATGGGAGGATCACTTGAGCCCAGGAGTTCAAGGATGCAGTGACCTAGGATTGTGCCATTGCACTCCAGCCTGGATGGCAGAGTGAGACGAAGATGAAGATGAAGAAAGAAGGAAGAAGAGGAAGAAAGAAGGAAGAAGAGGAAGAAGGAGAAAAAGGGGAGGAGGAACAGGAAGAGGAAAAAGAAGACAAAGAGGAAGAAGAGACAGCAGCAGAAAAAGACGAAATTATTCAATCTAAAGAACTGAGAGAAAATTAATTGAAGAAACATAATCAGAGCCTGAAAGATCTGTTGGACAATCATATACATATTTATGTACAATTGGAGTCTCAGAAGGAGAGAAAAGAGAGTGAGGCAGAAGAAAATAACTGAAGAATAATGACTGAAAATTTCTCAAATTTGGTAAAAGATTTAACCAAAGGGCCCATTCAGATGGAATAAGACACTTGTGGTAACATAAACATTAAGATTTTAGGACTTGTCACAGCCCCCCAAAAATACTTGACACCTTTAGGCTTTATAAGGAAACTAATTACCTTAAACTCAAAGTTTATTTCTCCCTCTGAATGTGAAGTCAGAATTATTTTTGTTTCTCAATTATGATGTTTCTCAGTTATTCATTACACTCATGATTTAAAAACGGATCTATTTCCATAAGTGAACAGAAGACACAGAGCATGCATGCACTGTTTCCTCGCAGTGTCATTTTGCTCTTCACTAGTACCTCTATTCGGGTGTGCATCCTTCTGGCCCTACCCATCAAGACTGCCCGAGGTCGGCCACACTTCATTGCTGTTCTATAAAGTAGCCTTCTCTGCTTCATTATGCAGCGTTATTCATTTCTTTATCTCAGCAATAGAATATTACATTTTACTATGTTATCCTCCTGCTTAGAGAATAGCTATTTATTTCTTAATAAAACAGTACAGTGTGTTTTCTCCATGATTATTTAAGACTCAGCTGAGACATAAGAACAATGAAATAAAAAATTAAATACTCTCCTCTCAGGATTTAACTAGCTGAACTAGGTAAAATGATGATTTTCTTTAAAACTTCCATTTTATTTCCTCCTAGTATATAGTTTTATATTCTTCAGGACAATGTCCATCATGCATAATGTCATAAAGGAAAACTATTAATATACATTGAAAGGAAATCCTACCAAAAGCATATTAGAAATACTGGTAAACAAAAAAAAAAGGCAGTTCTCTGTAGTTAAAATAAGTAAATATAGTAACTAGCGTTATTCAATGGAATTCAATAGACATTTATTGAGAACCTACAGTGTGCTAGTGTTATGTTGTTTTAGTTATTATAAGATGGTTTACATAGCTCAGTATACTCTTCAATATAATATGATTTTATATACATGTCTTTTTAGATGTTACTCAAGCAGAGAAATGAAAACATTGGAACAGCTAAAAACAACATCTAAAGAAGAAAATAGGCAATAGCCTGGTAATATTTTCACAAACTAAAACCATGAAGTTTCACTGCTTCTAACACTAGCCGTAAGCTACAAATTGGATTCGTAAAGCTCTTCACATACCAGTTAGGAGTAGGCAGTAGAACTGGCATTGACAAATGAGCTGTCAGCTGCATTTACCATCTTTTTAAAAAAATTTTTAATTTTCTTCCCAAATGTCAGGGTCACACCCTTGAAATTCATGTAATTAAACAACAACAAATCTTAGGAAGAAAGTGGGGAATCAAAGTTGTAGTCACGTTACAAAAGAATGCATGACTCCCTGCAGCAGCGCAGTTAAATGCTGGGGCTGGATTCTGGCTTGCTTTAATGAAAATCTGTTCAATCAAGCCAGGAAAACTTTAGAGAGGGTGAGAGATGTGTAATCTGCCAAAAAGTCTGTGTGAAGGTTTCCTAGGAGCATTCTGAGAGTCCCTGGCGGGACTCACCTTCACCAATGAGAGATGCAATCAGGCGGATCTCCCACACAGGTTAACGTGGTTTATTTTATTTGTTTATAAGATATATCGAGCATTGGCCGGGCGCAGTGGCTCACGCCTGTAATCCTAGCACTTTGGGAGGCCGAGGCGGGCGGATCACAAGGTCAGGAAATCGAGACCATCCTGGCTAACACAGTGAAACCCCGTCTCTACTAAAAATACAAAAAAATAGCCGGGCGTGGTGGCGGTGCCTGTAGTCCCAGCTACTCAGGAGGCTGAGGCAGGAGAATGGCGTGAACCCGGTGGGCGGAGGTTGCAGTGAGCCGAGACCGCGCCACTGCACTCCAGCCTGGGCGACAGAGTGAGACTCCGTCTCAAAAAAAAAAAAAAAAAAGATATATCGAGCATTGCTAAACCTCAGCATATCGCTTGAACATTCAAATCCAAAGTGTTATATTTTTTTCCATCAATCTTTCGATACCCCATATTTTAGCCATTCTACCTCTATATGAGTGACAGCTGGGTGAACAGATAAAAGGAACAGCTAGCTAATTTAGACTTGAAGAATCAGATGTTTTGAAGAAAAGGAAATCTAAGATGAGAAGAAAAAAATGAGCAGGAATTAGCTACACCAGTAGAGGAAAGAATATTTCAGGCAAAGGGAAAAACATGTATAGAGAGAAAATGAAAGAAATCAGGCCCTATTTGAGATGTAAAAAAATTCAGTTTGCCTGGAGTGTTGTGTCCAGGGACTTGGAGATCCGAGGGGAGAGGCTGAAGAGTGCAGGGCAGAGCAGGTTCTCTCGGAAACTTGCTGTCAAGAGGTGCAGGAACAACTGAATTGCCTCCATCAGGCCAGTGCCCTCCTGACCAGATTTACATTTGTAAACGACCACTCTGGCTGTATCAGTGAGTAGGCAATAAAGGGGGCAACGTTCCACTCAGGGACGAGACATACATTTGGAAGCTATTTCCATAACCTCAGTGAAGCACTAATGGTGGAAAGCATTAAGATAATAGCGATGGAATGGGAGAAGGATGGGCATGTTTGGGGAAGTATTTAGAAGTTAGAAACCACAGACTTGCTATGTGGCAGTGGAAAAGAGAATGAAATCAGAGGCTATGGCCAGGATTTCTGGCAAAGACAAATGGCAAAAAGGAGGTACATTCACTGACTACAGTAGGATGAGGTTTATAGTGGAAGATAAGGCATTGAGTTTGGGTCTGATTGAATATGAAATACGTATGGGACAGGAAGGCAGAAACATCAGTGGTCAATTGGGTCTGAAAGCCAGGAGTTGTCCTTTTGGAAGATGGCAGACTGAAGCCATGGAATCAGACGGACATCACCCATGCAGTTGGAGGTGAGGCTGGCCCAAGAAGAAACCTTGAGGAACTGGGTTACCTCTAAAGAATAGGCAAACAAGGCCAGGTGCGGTGGCTTATGCTTGTAATCCCAGCACTTTGGGAGGCCGAGGTGGATGGATCACAAGGTCAGGAGATCGAGACCATCCTGGCTAACATGGTGAAACCCCATCTGTACTAAAAATACAAAAAATTAGCCAGGCGTGGTGGCAGGTGCCTGTAGTCCCAGCTACTCGGGAGGCTGAGGCAGGAGAGTGGTGTGAACCTGGGAGGTGGAGCTTGCAGTGAGCCGAGATCGTGCCACTGCACTCCAGCCTGGGCAACAGAGACTCCATCTCAAAAAACAAAAACAAACAAACAAACAAAAGAATAAGCAAACGAAAAAGAATACGTAAAAGAGATGGACAAAGACCAGATTCAGAAAAATAAGAAAACTGTGTCATGGGCCCCGCAAGAAGGGAGACTTTGAAGAAGGAGGAGAGATCAACAGTGCCAATTCCTATGCCCCTATCAAGTGAGCTAGGCATAACTTCCAGTATTCCATCCAAGATCTTAATTAAAACACTGAACAATAAAAGGCTCAGGATAAAACCTTGCTCCTATTCTTTCAATATGCTCAGCAATACTTTTTCAATCTGTTCATCAACACATTGAGCGTGCAATGATGAAAACTTCCAGAAGGATTATCATCAATCTTCACTTCTTTATGTATTTACAAGGTCATCATGGGAATTTTGCTAAATTCCCAGAAACTTCCTAGTCACATGGTGTCTCTGGCATTTTGCAGAATATCCTACATGTCTATCACAAGATGAATGGTATGACTTCTTCTTGATCCGGTCCTTAATTGAGGTGGTCACCACTTCCTTTACTGGTCAAATGAAAGCTTGAGGCTCACTTCATTGTAAATATCACCAGCCTCCCCCAGACTTGCCCAGCCCAGAGTTCGAACTCCAAACTCCATCAGTGCTGAAGGCAGACAGTGCACCAGTCAATACCAGCAGGCAGTTTAGGACATTGCCCTCTTTATTGTGGGGGCATCAGAAAGCCTTGCAGAGGGCAAGAGGAGGCAAAACATGGATTTTAGAGCCAAAGGTGAGTTTAAATCCTAGTTGCACCTCTTGGCTGCTGTGTGAGCGAGTGAGCGATAGATCGTTAAAGAATTCATTTCCTCATTCATTAATCAAAGATAAAAATATTTATGAGAACTACAGGATGCAGTGTGTGTTGCTTCACATTGTGCTAATGTGGAATAGACTCCAAAAAAAAAATACCAGTTTTCCTCAGACCCCAGGACCTCTTAACAGACTGTATAGTCTCAGAGGGCAGAGAGAGTTCTGTTTAGTTCCTGTCAATCTCGTAGTCTTATTATGAACTTATTAAACTCATGTATTTATTCAAAATACACTAAGTTGGGAATGACTAGAGATGGAGCTAGGGTTGGTGGAAGGAACACACGGATATTATACTATTGGGAAATACTGGGGGCGGGGAGTGGAAGCAGATCTGCAGCATATTTAGGTCTTTGACCTCTTGTGCTTGTTAAGGGACAAGGTTTGAAATGTGTGTAACGGAAGCAGAATTCTAGCAGAGCGCTATGTGTGATACATGTAAGAATAGTGTGTAGGAGAATGCTGAGATATAGGTAGAGACAGGTGATGAGGCTAACACCATGTGCATGAGGGAAAGAGTGATTGCCCATCTGTTTGCCCACACAGGAGCATGGCGCACAGGCCTGGCACGTTCAGAGCACGACCATGTTCCTCAACATCTCTGGATCCTGACTTTTAGAGGCAGGACAAACGTATTTATTAAAAATCTGGCGAGGTGCAATGACTCACGCCTGTAATCCCAGCACTTTGAGAGGCTGAGGTGGGCAGATCGCCTGAGGTCAGGAGTCCAAGACCAGCCTGGCCAACATGGTGAAACCTTGTCTCTACTAAAAATACAAAAATTAGCCAGGCGTGATAGCGGGTGCCTGTAATCCCAGCTACTCGGGAGGCTGAGGCAGAAGAATCCCTTGAACCCAGGAGGCGGAGCTTGCATTGAGCTGAGATGGCGCCATTGCACTCCAGCCTGGGCAACAGAGCAAGACTCCATTTTAAATTAAAAAAAAAAAAAAAATCCATGCTTTGTGGTCCAAAGGCTTATAGGGTAAGGTCTCTGCCATCCAGAAGCTTACAAATATAGTTGGGTAAATAAGAAACATCCACGAATGGAACAAAATAACATATGACAAGGCTCATGGGTAGGTGGAGTGCAGAGAAACGGCTGTGAGTGACATCAGGCCACTGAGGCGTGACTCTTGGCTCTGGTTCTTACCATCCTGGTAAACGGCAGCTAGTGACTTAACCTCTTTGTGCCCGAAGTTCCTTGTTAATAGCATAAGGATGCTGAGGTAATTCAGCGAGGTGTTTTTAGCACTTTGCCAGGCATATACAAAAGCAGCCAATAAACGGCAGCATCATTATCAGTTGCTTTGAGTAATTCACTTCCTCCCAACATTAGTTCTCTCATCTGTAAAGCTGGACAATTGGACAAAAATAGCTAAAATCCCCATCGATTCTAAAAATCTATACATGATAGAAACGAGAAAAGATCTAATTCAGGGCAGGAAAAGTGTTCCCATGGGTGTCAACCCAACACAGACTCCGTGGTGGACATGGGCTTTGCTCTAGCTCTTGGCAACATGATGTTGAGCTGGGAGCACACTATTTTAGTGGCAGCGATTGATCCAGAAAGAGAAGTGGGAGATAAGGCTGGAAATAAAGACAGTGGTTAACTAAGGAACACTGTAAATGGTAAGTAATGGACTCAGAATTTACCCCTTGGAAATAGAGAGCCACTGAAGATTTGAGACACATAAGTGGTATAATTTATATGACTCTTCAGAGTTTGTCTGGGTATGGTATGGGCAGAAATGGTTGGCCAGAGATACGGTTCTAGAGAAAACTTATCAGGAAGCAACCACAATCATTCAGACCCAAAAGAATAAAGCCTTGAACTCAGGCAGGGACAATGAACATGGATAAGAAAAGATAATGGCCAACTCCCGTCCTGCATTGCTGTCAGAAGACCTGAGCAAGGGCTGACAAGAAGCCTCCAAGCTGCCCCATTCATCTGGGCATGGCACCCCGAGCCTGAACGTCTCGATGTAGGGAACCTGCATCTGCATATTTGAACAAGACTGGGTGCATCTGAATTTTGCTAATGGATGACAAATAACAATCGGTATTTCTTTGCTCCACTTCTTTTCTTGTCTTAAAATAAACCATGATCGACTAGTCACAGCTGCACTCACACAAAGAAATAGCAGTCTTTGACTTCAAAGGGAAACAGCTGAGAAGGGAGAAAACAAACAAAATTGCAAGATCTGAGATTTCATCTGGCGTGAGAATGATTTTTTAAAAGCATTTCTTACCCTAAACTGTTTCCTGTCTCATTTGAAAGCATCCCCAGTCGGCTGATAGCTCACATGCCAGGGTAAAGGTACCATCAAGGGAAGGCTGTGCAATCACAGGCTGCGGCTCTTTCTCCCAGGACTCCGCTTCCTCTTAGTGAAAGCAAACACTGATGCCATTCTAATATCTGTTAAAGAAAACATTGGGAAAAAAGCAGCATAATTTTTGGAAAAGTTGAAGATTTAGATGCTTGAAGGTCATGGGCTTTACAGAGGAAGTCACAGGATGATACTTTTCAAAGGTCAACAAGAAAAATAGAAGGTTCTACTCTTGGCCTTCTCTGGCTATAGAGTAATCGGATGCTGCAAACATCAACGAATTCCTGGGACAGGTTTCTACAGAGAATGTAAACCTTAATGTTATCTGATATTTGAGTTGTCCAAACTCAAGCAAATTGCACAAAAGTCTAATCCCAGGCAGGGAATCAGAGCTGCAGATCTAATTGGGACCACACACTTCTGTCCATCAGACCGGTGCTGTGTGCAACGGTGGAAAGATGAATTACAATCTGGATGTTTAAAGTCTTAATATGAAAGAGAGAGGCAGCAGGGAAAGTAGTCGGGTGGGGGCTGACTGAGAAAAACTGGCCAGAAACACAGGCAGGGATTTCATTCTGGAGAATTACCTTGCCCCACGCGCTGCAGATGGTGGCAAAGGCAGTCTTCAAAGGGCACCCTGCGGGCAACAACTCCTCTCTCTGGTCCGCACTGCCTCCTGCCTCCATCCAGTCTGTTGCTGATGTAAAGAATCCAGGCTTCTGTGATGGGAAGGGAATGGATAAAGACACAGTAACCCCAACGCCAGCTAATACCTTCTCTTCCTTTTGGAAGGAATTCCTAGCCAGGTTCCCACGCACCAATTTCTTCTTGCTCTGAACCTTTACAGCACTTGATGTCTGGCATTTATCATGAGTTACCTTCTGGCATCTCATTTGTTGTTTTTTTTGTTTAACTTCTCCTAACATCTCAGAGCTGAAAGAGGCACCTAGAAGATTCCAACCACCGCTTTCATATTGGAATGCACTGCCAAGCGGTTGGTCGTCAGGCTTAAGTGAGAAGACCCCCACAGATGGCGCTCTCGTGGCCTGGAGAGGCAGTCTGTTCCATCTCAGGACAAATTACACACTTGAGAACATCCTTATAGGCTCCTGATGGGAATATAGATTTTGATATTTCTGAAAGGCAACTAGACAACACCTACGAAATATGTGACAATGGGCGGGGCGCAATGACTCACACCTGTCATCCCAGCATTTTGGGAGGCCAAGGCGGGCCGATCACCTGAGCCAAACTCCATCTCAAAAAACAAAACAAAACAAAACAAAATATGTGACAATGTTCATACCCTTAGACCCAGAAATTCCGCTTTTAGGAATTTATCCTAAAACATTAGCATGGGTGGTCCCAGCTGTACTCAGGCGCCAGCTTATCCTGGCTTGCAAGAGCTGATATGTTCACCCCTTCCCAGCCCCACCTTCAGGGCCTTCACACTGGTGTTTCAACTGACCACAGTGGAAGAAAGTGCACCACAGAAAATCGGGACCCACAGCAATGGGGAATTCATTTTCTTTTTCCCTGGAGCTTCACGAACCATCTCCAGTACACCATTGGATGGGCCCAGATATTTAGTTAAGGTATGTTCATCGCAGAACATTACAAATGAAGTCAGGGAAAAAAGTAAAAAACATAAAAAATTAAAAAAATAAAACACCTAAACGTCTAAACTTTATGTCCAAACTTAAGGATCACGTAAATGAATTATAGTACATCAATTTTATGGGATGTGATTCAATCTTCAAAATAATATTAAATAAAAATATATGCACTTTTTAGCACACACACACACACACACACAAAAAGCAGGTTACAAAGCAGTGGGGCCATGATGCAACAGTTCCATTTTTGTGGCAAGGGTGAGTAGGTGGGGAGAGAAACAAAATCCACAGGTATTTTTAACCAAAGGGTGGCATCAATTTGGATTATCAATATTTGCTAACTTTTCTACAACATATGTCACTTTTATAATAAGAAAACATTAAGGATTAATTTTTCATCAATGCCTGTGCTTAACTACAACATTTTGCCGTGGTATACTTTTTTCGGCAAGGATACTTTTTTTCTTTTTTTTTTTTTTTTTTTGCCGAAAAAGAGGCTGACAAGGAGGCCCCGGTGCGTGGCAGCCCCCAGCAGCCTTCTTCCCTGGCCTTGTGAAGCTCTCTAGTGAAGATTTTAACTAATCTATGCAGAATTGACACAAACATCTAGAGATCAACAAACATGAGCTAAACAGTCAAATCGAGGTGACCAAATACACAAACTGCCTGATTTTTTATTTTAAAATGTTTCCTTTATTTCACTTAAGTGCCAGCTCAGCAAAGTAGGAAATATTACTTTTCTCCCTCATTTCTCCAGGCTTTTCCTCCTCTTTTCAGAACATGCTTTTTTTGCATCTCAGGCAGAGGAGTCTGAGCACTGCAGCTTCCCCAAGGTAAACACAAGTGCTAGGTAGCTGCATTTGGCGGTGAGGTTGGCATTACCCTGAAGAGACCCCCGCGCTCTCCCTGGAGAACCGCACCCACGTAACCGCACCGAATGCTCCGCCCAGGCAGAACATTCTCCAGAACAAAGGGAAGACAGGCCTGTGGAGGAGCCGCCGCCGAGCATGGGAACCCAGGAAAGACCGTAAGACTCGCGTTAAGATGCCCCCCTCTGAAAGGGGACCCCAAAGCCTCAGTGGCACCATCAGGCGTCCCCAGCTGGTCCCTCTCAGTGTGAGTGGGCACCACAGAGCAGCCTCTCACCATGCCCAGGAACGTTCACCCTTGACCAACCCTTCTTCCTCTCGAAAGTTTAAGATGAGAAGGAGAGAACAAGAAGGGGAGGTTGGTGTGGATGGCAGGGAGTTGCCCGTGAGGACTTCTACTTCTTTCCAAAATCTTCTCCTCCGTAGCGTGACCCAGCCTGGGCACAGGCCTGCAGCAGCGGCTCTCAGCTTCTCAGCGCCGGGTGTGCATCGGAGCCGGCTGCAAAACTTCTAAGACGACCATACCTGGTCCCACTACCAGGACCTCTCATTCCACAGGCCTGGTGAGGGGCCTGGACATTGGGCTTGGTTTAAATTCCCCCAGGAAAGGCTGATGTACAGCCAGAGTTTCGAGAAAGCCTAACCCACTTGAAATCACGTGTGGCCAAGAGACACCCTCTTCTATTACTGTTATTTTCCCCAGAGACCAGAAATAAGAGTGTTAATATTTACCCCGGCCCTGGGAGAGCTGGTATTAGCAGTGCCCCGCGGTGTGTCCTGAATTATTCAGAGACCATCTTCTGGCTGCTGAGGGATTTCCAACCCCTCCCCCACCATGACCACCAACCATTTTCTTTCTAAAGAGACTCCTAAAAGCATCTGTAAATGCTTCAAAGGGGGCAAACTGCACAGCCAGCACATGACGCCATTACGGAATTCAAAAGGTCCTGGGAAGAGGCAAAACCACAGATTTGAAGGGGAATTTCTCATGAGGTGAAATCTTAGAGGCATGTGGTGAAATCTTCTGATGTGAACTCTTCAAAAGAGTAAAGTGTTCAATCTCCCCCTGGCAGGGTGAGATGAGCTGCCAGAAACCCAGAGAGAGGGAAGAAAAAATGTTCTTTGTGGTAGAGAAACTGTTTGATGAATTACCAGATAGAATGGGTCCAATTCTCCTGCCCTCAGATCAGGAAAATAAAAATCCTAATGCTATTAATGAAACAGTGGCCAAAAGAAGTCATGTAAAACTACGGGGGAAGGCATACGAAATGGGAAAGGCATATTCACATGAAATATACGCTCCTCGAAAAGCTTTGCAAGATGAATTTTCCCTTGTGGAGGTGGGGGTGAGAAGTTGAAGAGATGGCGACTGCATAGTTAGACTAAAAGGCTTTTCATAAATTTTAATGCTTCAAATGAGGACAAATTAAGGTTATCCAAAAAAAAAAAAGGTAACTATTGTTATTTCCAGTGTAAACTTGTTATCAAAAAATAAAAAGGAGTAATGTCTATTCAGTCTACTTTCTTTTTTCTTTTCTTTTCTTTTTGTTTGTTTTTGTTTTTGTTTTGTTTTTGTTTTTGCTTTTTGAGACACAGTCTCATTCCATCATCCAGGCTGGAGTGTAATGTCAAGATCTCCGCTCACTACAACCTCCGCCTCCTGGGTTCAAGGGATTCTCCTGCCTCAGCCTCCTGAGTAGCTGGGATTACAGGCACACACCACCGCAACCAGCTAATTTTTGTATTTTTAGTAGAGATGGGGTTTCACCACGTTGGTCAGGCTGGTCTCGAACTCCTGACCCCAAGTGACCTGTTCGCCTCAGCCTCCCAAAGTGCTAGGATTACAAGCGTGAGCCACCACGCCCGGCCCAGACTTCTTTCTATGTCTTATTTTGGGGAAACAAGCAAGCGTAATAATGGTTACGTCCAGCAATTTCAAGACATTATTGCCCTGACCCATAAAGCAATTCCTGTTTTTCCTCCAGTACTCAGCCACGGATTCAAAAGCAAGTGCTGTGTCCTCTAACCGTCTGTCCTACTTGACTGACCAGGAACTAAATCTGCAGAGAGCACTGGCAAATTCTCCCTCCCCTAAATACTAATAACCCTGCCTCCTATATTGGAAAGTCACCTATAAATATTGATCACTAATATTAGCTAGTCATGTCTACAATCTGTACACAAACATTTTGGCAATTTCTCTGTAGAATAAAGAAACTGGGCGCTTGAAACTCTTGCTTAGCGATTAGATGCCTCTATGGACTTCCAGATCTTGTTCCTTGCTTTGTGATAATGCACATACATTCATGGCCTAGTGTCAAAAGCATGAGTTTTAGAGTAAGAGAGAAATGAGTTTGTTCCTGTCTCTTGTTGTTTACTGGTTGCATGATCTTAGGCAAGTCATTTAAGCTTGCTAAACCTTAGTTTGCTCATCTGTAAAGTGGAGATAATAATTACAATGCTGCAGGAGATCAGAGAATTCATGTTATCTATTTGCTTGTGTATTCCTCATGTCTAAAAAGAGGGGTCTGGAATATGTGCAGAATGAATTTGTCAATCCTGATAAGCATTAACTTGAGGAAAGGCAAGCAATTCCCGCAGCACACTATTCAGTACATAGTAATTACTCAGTTAGTGTTGACTATCACCGTCATTATTTAATTTAGACAAAAAGCTTAAAAATATATCTTTCCTATTATGTAAATGACAGGCATTTTTGCTGCCCCAAAGGAGCTACTCTTACCCACAAAGCAAATTCAGCAAGCTTACCCTAGTTGCCAACCTCCAGTCCAGTGGGATGATTGTTGCATTAAATGGAACAGGGCATGCGTCGGGACAGGGCATGTGTCGGGACAGGGCATCAGCACAGGGCATGCGTCGGGACAGGGCCTCAGGCAACGCTGGCGATGGTTTCCAACCTCATGTGCCGACATCTCCCATCTGAGGCTGGAGCTTGGAAGATGTGGAGAGATCACAAGGTTTAAGTCTCTTCCTTTTGCAGGTAAGGCAGCATGTCCAGCATTGCCAGGTCCTCACTCCAGCCCCTGACACTCCCCCTGGCTCTGTCTGGCTCCTTCACAACTGCTTCAACTGAGATAGATGTGGCCCACGGACACAGGCAGTGCCAATGGTGGCAGCAGGGCACGCTTAAGATAGCAGAGTCTTAAGGAGTCAGAATGAGAAAGAACTAAGCATCACTAATCCAAAACCTTTGGTTTCCAATAGTAATGGTGAAACCCAGGGAGCCTGATGGTGTCCCATCACGGTTACTGTCTAGTAATCAGCTATATCCACAAACGCTGTTGAACGTAGCCACTGGGGAGAGCTGGCAACAGAAAATGGACCGATGTCAAGAACACTAAAACAATAATGAGAGAGCCAGAGCAGTTCACAAGATAGATGAACGGAGAGAGTCATATATCCAAGCGGGAAGATACGGCAGGACCAACTCCAGAATAAATAAGAAAATTTCCATTGCAGTAATCCAGGTAAGACATAATAGGGCCTTAACAAAGACCATTACACTTGGATTGTAAAGGGATCAATATGGAGAGAAATTAAAGTAGAATCGATGGGACCACATTACTTTCCCAGTGCTGCTGCAACCAATAGCCACAAACTGGGTGACTTAAAATAACAGAAATGTATCCTCCCACAGTTCTAGAGGCCACAAGTCCACAAACAAGGCATCGCCAGGGTCACGCTCCTTCCAAAGCCTGTGCAAGAGGACGCTTCCTGCCTCTACCACCTTCTACAGGTGGCTGGCAATCCTTGGCTTGCAGCTGCTTCACTGAAATCTCTGCCTTGGTCATCACATGGTGCCCCTGTGTCTACAAATGTTGCACAAGAGCAGAACTGTCATCATCTGTGAACAAATCACATTAGTGTAAACACTGACTTTCAAAAATCGTGATCTAAATCTACAAAGAGGATGGGGAAAGGGAGAGTTGGAGAGGGTCAGGAGAGCTCTGCCAGAGCTAAATGTTTATCTTTCATTTCCATAAAGTCAAAATATTATCATTTAAAAAAAAATAAAAAGAGTTGTATAATATTTAGAATGTGGAGGTAAATACCGAAAGAATTATCTAAAATAGTACAAGTGGGGGCTTTGGTCAGCGGAAGGAAAAAGTCAAAGGAATGTTGTCTTCTGCATTTTAAATGTTTTAGTCTTATTTGACTTTTTAAACTACATACACGTGTTGTTTAATAAAATTTAAATTTAAAAAGAGGAGATCATTCTGTTTTCAGTCTCAAGAAGAGAGAGAACCAGCTAACTGTAGCTTCAGGTGAACAAATCCCTGCAACCGCCTCGGGGGCTCACCCGCCTGGGATGTTAGTGTCAGGATGCACGGCCCCAAGCAAGGATTCCCTCATCGGAGCTCTGGCACAAGGACTTGGGGCTGACACCCAGGACAAAAGGCAAATGATCCCACAGAATCCTGGGGAGAGCACTGTTTCTGCCTGTGGCTTCTGCCAAGGAGGCTCATTAACACCGGTGATTCATTTTGACCCGACTTTCACTCACCAAGGCCATGGGTTTGTAGCAAGTCATCTGAGGACAGAAACTGTGTTTTCCTCACTTCACAGCATTGCCTAAGCAGCATGCAGCTTGCTCGAGAGTAAGTGAGGCTCATCCTGGCCTTATAAAGAGACTGGTCTCAAGAAATAAAAACACAAGACACATAAAGATTTGGAAGGACGAAGATAGCATTATCACTACAAATTACACAAAAAAGGGGCCTATTTCCACAAAGCCAAGAAAGATGCATGTTTAAAAAAGTAAGGTACCTTCAACTAACAGTTGCCCATATTGTATGCCAAATACCTCCAAAGTGCTTGTATTAGTCTGTTTTCATGCTGCTGATTAAAGACATACCCCAGACTGGGCAATTTACAAAAGAAAGAGGTTTAATGGACTCACAGTTCCACGTGGCTGGGGAGGCCTCACAATCATGGCAGAAGGTGAAAGGAACGTCTCACATGGCAGCAGACAAGAGAAAAGATGAGAGCCAAGCAAAAGGGGTTTCCCCTTATAAAACTATCGGATCTTGCGAGACTTACTCACTACCAGGAGAACAGTGTGGGGGAAACTGCCTCCATGATTCAATTATCTCCCACTGGGTCCCTCCCACAACACGAGGGAATTATGGGAGCAATTCAAGATGAGATTTGGGTGGGGACACAGCCAAACCATATCAATGCTTTAGATCCATCATCTCATGGATCACAACAACCTCGTCTGATTTGTTTTTTCATTTATATTTTGTAGATGAGAGAGTTAAGACTAAGGCAGATGAACAGGGGAACTTGTGTAAGCACGGGCTTGCAAGCCACACTCCAGAGTCACCACCGTGAAACCTGTAGTTACCAGGCTTACAAAACTGCAGTGATATCAAGCTCCCCAGCTAATTCTTTGGAATCACAGTTTGGGTCAAAATTATTAAACTAGGTTTAAATTAAGCATTGAGATCAGCCAGCTAAAAGGACCACTCTAAAGCAAATGTGATTAATTTGTTTCATCTTTCTCTGCTATCTTCTTTTTAATTTTGCCTTCATATGTTGTATTGATTTTATCATAAAAATGAAAAATCTTATAATGGAACATTCAGATAACAGAAAAGAACTTTCGTAAATTAAAACAGGGATATTATATTATAAATGAAACACACTTGTCTAAAAAAAATACTGTAATTGTTTTTCTGGGACTGCGAACTTGCCTGTGAAGAACCTGGCATTTAGCAGAGGCCCCAGAGGCCCAACAAGTGGCTGGGAGTCAGTTTGGCATCCTGAAAAGAGAGGGCTTTGAAATCTGATAGACCTACATTCAAATTCTGGGTTCAGTATAGACAACAGTAACTGTTGAGAATCAAAATTTTAAAATAGATCTAAAGCCCCTAGTGCAGTCTTTGAAACATAACTGTGCTCAAAATCATGTTAATTTCCTCCCCCTCAACCTAAAGAACGCACTATATTTCCTTCATGTTTGTTTTCTCTTTGCTTAGACCATCTTCCTTTTGTGGAAAGCACCATTGCCCACTCATGACGGCCTCTGTTCTTGATCCAGTTAGTCATATGCAACTTTTTGTTTTCTGAATTCACTGCCTTTCTGTCCTTAGAAGAGAAAAAAAAAAGGGGGGGGGGGATTTCTTAATCAGTCTCCACATTTCCTGTAGATTATTTACATATTTTAGAATTAATCCTTTGGGGGTTCTTTCCTGTAATGAAAAAGTTACATAGTTTGACTTTTCTAAAATTGAATAACCATGTAATAATTTGCTTTAGCTCTTTTTCTGTCTGGATTATCAAACTTAATCCTGTGGGCATTGTTACACAGTAGTTCTTCCATGAATATACTGCACATTGATTACCATCCATCACCATCTGCCCAAGACCATGTATGGTGACCACATGTCCTGAATCATCCAAGACAGTTTTAATATTGGGTAATTTTCTTCTTTTTAATAAATGGGAGTTATTAGATTTATGACCAGATGTGATTTAATTGTTTTACCTTTGTATGATTTTTTAATTTCCTTTTTGCATTAAGAAACTATACTATTTTTATAATATGTAAACTCATTCATATTCGAGTCTTTAAGGGGCATAAAATTAGATAATGATTATTTGACATATAATGAATCTCCTTAATTGAAATGAATAAAATTTTATAAAATTGGAACCTTCTTAGAAAATCTGGGACATATGGTCATAATAAATATAGTTTCTTTCCCATGGGTACTAGGAAGTAGTCATTATAATAATCCCACATTAATTAGAGAAACTTACTGGAAGCAAATTGTAGTATAAATAGATTGTGTGAAGAAAGGCCTTCCATTAGACATCAACCTGAAGATGTTAACAAAAAAGTGGCATTGATGGTGTAAGCATTTGAATAAATTAATCTAATATAGGCTACTCAGCATTCATAAGATCCATGAGAAGAATGTCTGTAGTGATGTCTGCTCATAGCTTTAGTTATTCAAGGTGGTTTGCAATGCAAATAATCAAAAGTGCAGCCAGGCATGGTGGCTCATGCCTGTAATCCCAGCACTTTAGGAGGCCGAGGCAGGTGGATCACCTGAGGTCAAGAGTTCGAGACCAGCCTGTCCAAAATGGTGGAACCCCATCTCTACTAAAAATACAAAAATCAGCCAGGTGTGGTGGTGCACACCTGTAATCCCAGCTACTTGGGAGGCCGAGGCAGGAGAGTCGCTTGAACCTGGGAAGCAGAGGTTGCAGTGAGCTGAGATTGCACCACTGTACTCCAGCCTCATTCTGTCAGAAAAAAAAAAAAAAAAAAAAAAGCGCAAGTCCAAGAAGACCATAAACTAGTAGAAAATAAATTTTAAAAAGGCAGGGATCTTGTGCCAAAACAGTCGAAGTATTAGCATCCAGGTCAACAAAGACTGAACAGACACCTGTTAACTCTGAACATCCTCAAATTTCTCCTTTGACCAGCTTCATCTCTGCCAAGAGTTCAGTTCTGGGACTTTTAGCATGTTCTCCCTTTCAATGAGCATATGCTAACTGCAGTTTCACACACAATTGCTTTCTTATCAACCCATTCAAGCTATTTATCCAGGAAGGCACCCCTCCCTCGCCATCTTGTGTGTTAAATATCAGGATCTAGCCCTTGTGGAGGTCTGGGTGCCAGGTGCTGTGTTCCAGTGCCTAATGTTCAGAAGTCTTCTGGGAAATGGTGAACAACCAGTTCTGTGGGACAAAGCAAAGATGCTTATTTGCCAACTTCTGTTGTGTAAATTCTTCCACCATTGCCAATTCCAAGCTGCCAACAGTTTAACCACTGGCTCTTGAAGTGAGCACAAACTGTCTCCAGCTTATTACAGTTTCAGTATTTAATCCTTGAAATCAACAGGCAGGTAACATTACTGTCCCCATTTTATAGATGAAGAAACTGAGGCTTGGAGAAATGAACAAAGTTGTCCAAAATCACAGCTGGTAAGTGGCAGAGATGGGATTTAAGTACGGGTCTGCCTCACTCCGCAGTCTATTGAACAAATATTTGTAAAAGCAAGACAGCATTTTATATAGCAAAAGACAAAACAAATGAAAAATCCTCATAGAGTTTACAAGTGAGCGTCAATCAGTCCATGCCCTTAAACATTATGAGTTAGGTCACCCCAGGCGGTGGGCAGTGGAATAAGCCGAGGGAAACCACCAATGGACAGGGACTCTACGTTCTGTTAGCATCAAAGTTACCTCTATTTTTTTCTTCTCTCTGGCACCTCTCTACTTGGTGGTGCCTTTTCAAAGTGAACAAGTGTAAGGAACTTGGTCATTTCTTACCCAACTGGATAAAGCCCTGGCGTCTGAATTTGTCACGGTTTCCACCTCGTTGACTGTCAGGCCAGTCGGGCCGCAACCTGACCCATGAAGTTTCTGAGTCCTCTTTACTGGCCCTGCAGGTGAGACTCTCCTGTGCGCTCTCCACGGATACCTGAGCACCAACTTGAGATGCAATCCTTGTTTGGTTTCCTCTCAGTATTTATTTCAAGAATTTCTCCCCAAATCCTGTCTATCAGCTTAAACAGATTCCTCTAAGAGCCATTCCTTGCTTTCTAGTCCTTTGTAGCAGATGGCCTCTAGTTAAGCCTTGTTCCAGCCTCCACCAAATTGTCTCACTGTATGATTCAGCTTCTCTAAGCTCCCAGAAAACAGTCCTGCCAGATGGAGGAAGTGGCCGCTCTGCAGCCCCCGCATAAATATTCACAGGTGCAAGGCTGGCACTGGATTGTTGGACTCGGGATTTAATGGAGGGAATGTGAGGGAGAGTGACTTAAACTCCCATTTACTCAGTTTTCTCATCTGTAAAATGGGAGCTTTTAAAACATATGCAAGGTTGTTAAGTGAATCATCCAAAATGCTTATTTGAAAATAGTGTAGGTATTCTTATTTACATTTAATATTAATAATACTAATAAGGGATAAGCTACATTACTATTCCGTATCTGGGAAGACTATATTTGTAGACAAGATATGAAAAGTGGTATTCTCTGTAACAATTGCGCTTACGTCACACACTTTACAATCATTGCATCCCACTGCGTTCATGGAACCATCCATTCAGCAAACCTTGACCAAGCACCTGTAACACACCAGCCCCTCTGCTGGGCAGTCACAGGACAAGGTTGACTAAGACATGGTCCCTGCACTGTGGGCTTGCAGTCTTGTGGGAGATCTGCCCAGGAAACCCTCCTTACAATGCAGTTGGAGAAAGGCCTAGGGGAGAAATCAGGGCACCCAAACCAAACCAATATGTTTGTAGATAACAAATATCAAAGTCAGAATAATCATTACCTCTGGAGAGAGAGGGAAGATTTGAGGTTTGAGAGGCTCCCCTGCTCTGAGTTTTGGAGAAGAAGGAGGTAGCCCTGGGATCCCCTATACACGGAGTGCATCAGAACCACCAGGGAGCTTGTCAAACCTACATTTGGCTAAGGCTCTACCCAGATATTTTGATTTGATAGATCTTGGGTAGGTAGGGCTGGATATTTGGATATTAGTCATCTTCACAGGTGATTCTGTACAGGGATAACTATGACCTATATTTCTCTGACTTTGTCTATCAGAAAATTAGAAAATACGTTCATTATATCTATTCAATGTATCTCAGTCAGTCCTCAGTATCTGGGGACTCTTGCTGACACTCAGACACCAGGAATGATACTAGACATTGACTCAGACCACATTTAGCCTCATTTTCTTCATTTTTAATTTTACAGCACCTTCCCAAATCAGTTGAACTTAATTTTTAGTAACTTTAGAATCATTTAATCTTATTCCATATTTCTATTTCTCATAAACCCAAGCTCACAATTTAGACTGACCACATTTTCCCTGAGGTCTGAAACATTAAAAATAACATAATATAGGTTTCTCTCGGTATTAGGGCAGATAGTAGAAACTGTAGAAAATAGTTCCAGTCAAAATATCTTTCAATAAACAATTCACCAGAGACTGTTAAAGCTCCCCACAGAATTCCTCATAACAATGGCCATAACAATACATTTTACTCCCAGATCATGCTATGTATTTATTCTGACAACCAAATACTGAATGTCATCTGCAATGAAGACATCTGGGGACTCCTATGTATTGGTGTATCTCCAACTCATTCACTATGAGGCAGCTCAACACATGGAATAAAACACTAGACACTAGAGCTACCAAACAAGTGACATATGGTCTTCACAAAACCTCCGAAAGTCCATTTCTCTCATTTTACTAACGAGGAAACTGAGAGGAAGGAATGGTAATTGACCAAACCGACACATTCAGAGTAGGGCAAAGCCAACACCAGAACTTTAGTCTGTTCCTGCCTAAAGCCTTCCATTAGCTGAAAGAACCCCAGTAGATGATTTAGTCGCAGTTTTATGATGAAATACACTATAATTTCTTTATAATGATGATAACTTATGGTCAGATATAAATCACCTTTTTTCAAAAAATAAATTATAAGCAAAAAATAGCATGAAACCTATATAAACAATTATATCTGCAATGGTTTCTACATGAGCAATAATCTGTAAATAAAAATTTATTTTTATTGAAATTAAAATCAAATAAAAGTTTAAAATCCGCTATATACTATTACCATAGTTTGGGATTACCTGGAAGTACTTCTATACCACAACCTACTTCCATCCTTCAGAGCCTAAGAAAGAGAAAAAAATGCTTCCCTATGAAATTTAAATTTAGAATATTCACATGGAATGAACCAAAACAGAGAGCTGTGTAAAAAAATACTAGCAAATGAATAAGTAGAAGAGAAAGACAGAGATAGAGGAAGAAGAGGAGTTGAAGAAGGAGGAGGGAGAAAGGAAAGAAGGATAAAAGAAAGGAAGAAATATGGGAAGGAAGAGAGGGAGAGGAAGGAAAGGTCGAGTAGATTGCAAACTTTTTCCCAACTCTTACTAATTATATTAAAATATCAAGTACTAAAATATAGACTATATTAAAATATCTAAAAGGTTGAAGATAAGCTTCAAGAACTTGCAGTCCAACAGCAAGACTTTCTATAACCTTAGATTTTCTTAGGTTAGTGCCATTAAACATCTGATCCCTCTCACCAGCCGACTTTCCCTCGGGAGCTAGGCACAGCAAGCTGCACTCTGGTTGCCATAATTATAATTGGAGTTGCCGTGAATTGTGCCTAGAGGGGAGAGTGATCGTGCAAACTCAGATGTGCCAGATCCTATGATGGACAAACTGCTTAAAACGCTTTTATTGTAAAGTGCTAGAATAACAATGCAGTATAAGAAACGCCCATATCCCAATACTGAACTTTACCAAATCAGACCATGCTTATGTTTGCTTCAGATTTCTTTTTAGATAAGAAAATGTTTCAGATGGAGTTGAATCTCTCCTTGAATTTCTGCCAAGTCATTTCTCCTCCTCCCTCTCTCTCCAGGGGTAATGATTATTCTGACTTTGATGTTTGTCATCCCCAAACATATTTAAATATTACAACCACCTACGTGTGGCATATATTTATAAAACACATAGTAATAATTTACATATTTTAAAAACTATAGGCACAGTATTGTATGGCATATATTCTACTAAAATTTGCTTTTTTCTCTCAATGTTAATTTCTGAGATGTCTCCATGTTGACACATGTAGCTCTAGTACATTTGCTTAATATTGCATAGTGGTGTGTCCATTTTACTTATTTGACTTCCTGTTGGCAGCCTTTAGGTTGTTTTCAGCTTTTCACCATTACAAATAATGGTGCAGTGGATATTCTTGTGCACATCTGGAACAATTTATTCATGATAATTGCTAGAAGTGGAAATATTTACCCACTGTGTTTATGAATATTCATTTTTACTAGTTATGACCAATATACCCAGCAAATTAGTTGTCTTGTATTGGTATCAAGTCAACTGTTAGCCACAGCCTGTAAATTTGTTTTCTTATCTTTTCAAGGATTATCTGTTCCTCGATGGTTTAAAACTCATCCATAAAAGGCCGGGCACAGTAGCTCACACCTGTAATCCCAGCACTTTGGGAGGCCAAGGCAGGCGGATCATGAGGTCAGAGATCAAGACCATCTTGGCCAACATGGTGAAACCCCGTTTCTACTAAAACACAAAAAATTAGCCAGGCGTGGTGGCACGTGCCTGATATCCCAGCTACTTGTGAGGCTGAGGCAGGGGAATCACTTGAACCCAGGAGGCAGAGGTTGCAGTGAACTGAAATCGCGCCACTGCACTCCAGCCTGATGACAGAGCAAGACTCCATCTCAAAACAAACAAACAAACAAACAAACAAAAAACTCATCTATAAAAACATGTAGGCTTATTGCTTTCTGATTGAATCTTAAGTCTTTGTTGGTGTATTAGCTATAACTCTGTTTTGTTATCTATTGGTTGCTTTAGTGTTAACATCTGTATGTAATTACAGTCTATATTCAAATAATATTATACCACTTCAGATTCAGATTTAGTATTAGAACTTTACAAATAGTATACTTCCATTTCTCCCCTCCCAGTCTTTGTTCTATTTTTGTCTACATGTTTTATAAACTCACTTGTTGCCATGTCTTGAAAGTTAATTGTGTGTATCTCTTCCCAAATTTACCTTCGGTTTGTTAACTTGAAATTATTTTAGGCAAATGCTACAAATTGAGGCTTTTTTTTTTTTTGCTGGAAATTAAACTGTTAAGCATTTACCAGCATGTCATTTTCTAAACCTGAATACATATGTTATTATTTATTTACTTAAAGCACTTAATTCTCTTTAAAAAAAAATTTAACATCTAAAAAGTCGTTTATATTTACCCAGATGTTTAGCATTTCTGGTGCTCTTCATCTCTTTCTGCAGATCTTTGTGTTTATGGATTTTTATCTACTATCATTTTCCTTTTGCTTAAAGGTCTTCCTTCATATTTCTTGTAATGCAAGTCTGCTGCCGACTAATTCTTTTAGTTTTTGACTAATTACAAAATATTTTATTTTGCCCTTGCTTTTGAAAAATATTTTGCTCAGCATAGAATTTGACATTTAGAGATTTGTTTGTTTGTTTGTCTCCTTTCAGTAATTTAAAAATACTCCTCCACTGTCTTCTGGCTTGCACTGTTTCTGGCAAGAAATCTGTTGTTATTCTTGGTAGCGTTCCTCTATGTATTGTCTTTTTTTTCTCTCTAACTGCTTTTAAAATTGTGTCTTTATTACTTATTTTAAACAGTTTAGTAATGATGCCTTGATGCAGTTTTCTTCACATTTCTTCTGTCTGGAATATATTGAGATTCTTGGATCTGTGTGCTTATGGTTTTACTCAAATTTGAAAATTCTCATTCCTACTTCTTCAAATATTTTTGCCCCCATCCCATCACTGGGAGATGCCAATTAAATTACACATGTATTAGGACACTTAAAAGTTGTCCCACATTTTCACAGCTCACTGATCTGCTAATTTTGGGGGGGTTTTGTTCTGTTTTGTTTTTTCTTTTTGTTTCATTTTGAGTAGTTTCTATTGCTGTGTCTTTAAGTTTGCTAATCTTCTTCCCTGTGGTGTTTACTTTGCTGTAAATCATACCTAGTGTATTTATCATTCCCAACATTGTATGTTTCAAGAAGTTCAATCTGGGTCTTTTTTTGTATCTCCCATATCTCTACTTAGCATGCTTAACTTTCCTCTACTAAACACATGTGAAATAATTAGAATGATTGTTTTACTTCCCTTTTCCCCCATGAGGACTGTATTTTCCTGCTTCTCTGCATGCTTGTAATCTTTTTATTAGATGCCAAAAGATTTTGTAAATTTTACTTTGTTGTATGCTGTATTTTTTTTTGTATTCCTATAAATATCTTGAGCTTTGTGCTAAGATGCATTTAAATTATTTGGCAATTGTTTGATTCTTTTTAACCTTGCTTTTATACTTTGTTAGGGAGTAACAGAACATTTTTAATCTAGTCCTTCTGAGTACCCTATTCAATGCCCTGTGAATTCTAAGGTTTTCCAGTCTGCCTGGTGTGAACAGCCCTATTCTCAGCCCTAAATGGGCTGTGAGAATTGTTCCCTTTTGTCCGTTCAGGTGGTTATTCTTACAGCTTTCAATAATTTCCTCACACATATATGCTGACAAGCATTTAGTAGAAGACTGACCAGGGATCATCTGTTGATCTCTGGAACTCTCTATATGCAACTTTCTGCTATCCAGTCCTCTGTTCTTTGAACTCTAGCTATCTTGGTCTACCTGGACTCCTGGTTTCATTTCCTCAACACAGGAAGTTTTCCTACTCCAACTTGATTTCCTCTCCCTTTGCAGTGGCCTGGAAACTCTCTTTGTGTAGTAACCAGAATTTAATCACTGGACTGTTCATGTTTGTTGTCTCTTTCTCAGGAATCACTGTTCTGTACTCCCTAATGTCTAACACAGGTTGAGTATCCATTATCCAAAATGCTTAGGACCAGAAGTGTTTGGGATTTCACATTTTTTCAGATTCTGAAATATTTGCATTATACTTACAGACTGAATATTCCTAATTTGAAAAGCTAAAATTCAAAATGCTCCAATGGGCAGTACATTTGAATGTCACATAAGTGCTCAAAAAGTCTTGGATTCTGGAGCATTTTAGATTTTGGATCTTCAAATTTGGGGTGCTCAACCTGTACTGGAAAACCATTGTTTCACATATCTTTCCTAGTTTTTTAGTTTCTTTCATGGGAGAAAATTGGATCCCTCTTACTCCATCTTTACCAACATGAAAATATCAGTGTTACCATTGAATTATTTAATTCTTTGTTGTACATTGGCCTTTAGATTTTGCACCTACTCTCATGGTTTGGTAAGTTGGCCTCTGCCCTTGAAATATGACAACTGTTTATGTGCCAGTATGACAGGTTTCTGAGCCTTCAAGCCTAGGGTCTGACCCCAGACCACAGCCATGAAGGTGACCCTGGGAAGGTCCTACGGAGATGGCAACCCTCTCTAAGAGCCATGTGGCTGACTGAGCTCAAGCTTGATTACTATTTTGAATTTCCTCACAGAAGATGAATTACTCATGTGCAAGATTTAAAAATAAAATAGCTACATGAACATATGTAGCTTACAGACTGTTGTATATAACCAAATCCCATGATTTAAAATGCTAAAAATATTTGCTTACTCATCAACATTTTCAGATTGAAAATGTGTCTGTCCATATCTGAGTAATACCACTAAGAACAATAATATATACTGAAAACAATACATGTTATTAGTAAAAAGTAAAATAATTTTTTTTTCAAACTGTGTATTTGTGCTCAAAATTATTTTTCTTGTAATGTTTCCCATATTCTTAGATGCCAGCTACAGGTTTTTGAAAAGGTAGCTATATTAGTTTTATTTCACATCCATATATTTTGGTCTCTAGTTATTGTAATACTAGCAAGGAACCTCTTCTCAAGAAACTAACAACCTTTTCGGTCTACCACAGTGGACATTGCATCAGAGGGTAGATGAAATACTACATTATAAACAGATTTGGCCTCAAGGAACACTGACAAACATCCCGATTTGACTTAATCAGCCTGAAGGATAGACTCAGGTTTCAGCCAATTATAAATGGAATTCTCTGCACCAAAACACAGAAATAAACGAGTCTGTTTACCTCGGCTCATCTTTACCTATCCTCCCCAGTCTAACTGGAAGAGACATTTGGGTCTGGGACATTGCTTTCCTGATACTTTTTAAATTGGTCCTGTTTCCTCCGAGTAGGTCAATGGAATGGATTTGGATATTTTGTGACCTACTTGTCTTCTTCAGCCCTATTCAAATACACTCTGATACCTAAAAGATAATGCATTTGTCCTTAACATTTGTAAAGATTTATATTTTATTAAAATTATACACAAACATGGTGCATACACATAAAGAGTCAAGGAGCCCTCAAATTCATTAAAAATACAGCAGCATTCTCCATCTCCATTTTTCCTGTCTCCTAGGAAACCACTCAACCACTTTTGCTGTCTTTTGATATTTACATCTGTATTTCTAAATGACATGTCTGTATTGCTATGTTTTCATTATATATTCATTTTTTTAAAGTGTTCTCCCCCTTCCTGCTCCAATTTGGAATTGTGACCTCATGCTAGCTGCACATATGTTATATTGAGATCACCCATGCCTTCATCCTGGGGATCCACTTTGCCTCTCTTCTACATTGTATTTATTATTTTCTTTATCCCAAGTCTTCTCATTTCTTGGTTTTCTTCCTCATTTTGATGGAACATATCCTCCAGTGACTTCCTGGGAAAGGCTGTGTGGGAGGTAAACCTTTTGAGAAACTGCATGTGTGAAAGTGTCTTTCTTCTCCATGCACATTTGATTAAGAATTGAACTGAGCATAACATGAGGCTAGAGATCATTTTTCTTCAGAACTCTGAAGCCATTATTACACGGTCTTCAAACATCTGATACAGCTATTGAGAAGTCCAAAGTTTTTCTGATTCTTAATCATTTTGATGACACCTATATTTCTCTCAGAAGCTTAAAGAATATTTTCTTTGCCCAAAATATTCCAAAATAGCATGACGATGTAATTTAATGTGGGTCTACTTTAATTCACTGTGCTGAGGTTTTCTGTTTTTTCTTAAATTGACCTTTCAACATGGAAATTCATTATCATCAGTTCTGGGAAATTTTCTTGATTTATTTCAATAATGATTTCTATGTTCTGTTTTCCCTGTGCTTTCTCTCCATAACCTCTCTTATTAAGATGTTTGACTTCCCCGACTGGTTTTTCTGATTCTCTTATATTTTTTCTCCTACTTTCCATCACCTCATCTTTTGTTTTACTTTCTGGGATAGCTCTTCAACTTTATCTTCCATCCACCTTATTCACTTTCTTATTGTTACTATCATATTTTAATTTTAAGAGCACATTTTCATTTCCTGAGTATACTTTTTAAATTGACACATAATAATTGCACATATTTATGTGGTACATAGTGATGTTTCAGTACACACAATGTATAGCAATCAGATCAGAGTAATTAGCATACCCATCATCTCCAACATTTATCATTTCTTTGTGTTGAGAACTTCAATATCCTCCTTCTAGCTATTTGCAACTATGTAATACATTATTGTTAACTCTCCTCAAGGTACAGTGGTATAGAACACTAGAAGTCATTCCTCCTATCCAGCTGTAATTTTGTATCCTTTAACAAATCTCTTCCTATCTCACCTTTCCTTTACCCTTCCCAGCCTCCAGTAACCTCTGCTCTACTTTTTACTTCTATGAGACCAACTTTTTTTAACTTCCACATATCAGTGAAAACATGCAGTTTTTAAATTCCTGTTCCTTATTTCACTTACCATAAGGTCCTCCAGTTTCATCCGTGTTGTCACAAATGACAGGATTTCGTACTTCTTTAAGGCTGAATGGTATTCCGTTGTGTATAAATACCACATTTTAAAATCCAATTATCTGTTTTTGGACCCTTGGGTTGACTCTAAATCTTGGCTACTGTGAATACTGCTGCAGTAAACATGAGGGTGCAGATGTCTCAATATACTGACTTCAGTTGCTTTGGATAAATGCCAAGTAGTGGGATTACCAAATCATTCTCTCTGAAGCTTTTTGAGGAAACTCTGTATTGCTCTCCATAGTGGATGTGCTAGTTTACATTCCCACCAACAGTATACAAGAGTTCCCTTTTCTCCACATCCTCACCAACATCTGTTTTTCTCTTTTAATCTTTTTCCTAATAGCCATTTTAACTGGAGTAACATCATATCTCACTGTGGTGTTGATTTGCATTTCCCTGATGATTAGTGATGTTGAGCATTTTTTCATATACCTATGGCCATTTTGTACATCTTCTTCTGAGACATGTATATTCATATCTTTTGCCCTCTTTGAATAATTATTGGTTTGGTTTTTTGAGGTTTTGTTTGTTTGTTTGTTTGTTTTTTCTACTGTTTGAGTTCCTTGTATATTTTGGATATTAGTTCCTTGTCAAATGAATAGTTCGCAAACATTTTCTCTGATTCAGTATGGTTTCTATTCACTCACTGATTGCTTCCTTTGCTGTGCAGAAGCTTTTTAGTTTAATATAATCCCATTTGTCTATTTTTGTTTTTGCTGTCTGTGTTTTTGAGGTTTTAGCCATAAAATCTTTGCCTAAACTAATGTCTTGAACTGTTTTCCCTGTTTCCTTCTAGTAGTTTTATGGTTTCAGGTATTATGTTTAAGTCTTTAACTCATCTTGAGTTGATTTTTTCCAATATAATGAGAGATAGGGGTCCCATTTTATTCTTTTCCATGTAGATATCCAGTTATTCTGACACCTTTTATTGGGTGCCTTTCCCCAATATATGTTCTTGGTACCCTGTCAAAAATCAGTTGACTGTAAATATGTGAATTTATTTTTGGGTTTTCCATTCTGTTCCATTGGTTTATGGGTTTGTTTTTATATCAATACCATGCTGTTTTGGTTACAACAGCCATATATTTTGAAGTCAGATAGTGTAATACCTCCAGCTTTGTTCTTTTTGCTCAGGACTGCTTTGGCTATTCAGGCTTTTTTGTGGTTCCATACAAATTTTAGGATTTTTTTTCTATTTCTGTGAAAAATGATGTTGGTATTTTGGTAGGGATTTCATTGAATCTGTAGACTGCTTTGAACAGTATAGTCATTTTAATGACATTAATTTTTTCAATCTATAAGCATGAGGTGTCTTCCCATTTATTTATGTCCCCTTCAATATCTTTCATTTGTGTTTTATAGTTTTCCTTATAGAAATCATTCACCTCCTTGTTAGATATGTTCCTAGTTAATTTTTTGGTAGCTATTATAATTGGGATTGCCTTCTTGATTTCTTTCTCAGTTAGTTCATTATTGGTATACAGAAATGCTACTGGTTTCTGTATATTGTCTTTGTATCCAGTAACTTTGCTGAATGTTTATTGTGGTGGAGTCTTTGGGTTTTCTAGATACAAGATCTTGTCATCAGCAAAGAGCGACAATTTCACTTCCTATTTTCCAATCTGGATACCTTTTATTTCTTTCTCTTGCCCGCTTGCCCTGGCTAGGACTTCTAATAATATGTTGAATAGGAGTGGTGAAACTGGGCATTCTTGATATCCTTGTCTTGTTCCAGCTCTTACCAGAAAGGCGTTTCCCTATTCAGTATGATGTTAGCTGTGGGTTTGTCATATATGGCCTTTATTATGTTGAGATATCTTCTTTCTCTTCCTAGTTTGTTGAGAGTTTGTATCCTAAAGGGATGTTAAATTTTATGAAATTCTTTTTTTGGGTCTATTGAGATGGTTGTATGGTTTTCGTCCTTTATTCTGTTGATGTGATGTATCACGTTTATTGATTTGCCTATGTTAAATCACCCTTGCAGCCCTGGCATAAATCCCATTTCATCATAGTGCGTTATCTTTTTCATGTGCTGTTGCATTGGATTTTCTAGTATTTTGTTAAGGATTTTTCCATCTACTCATTAGGAACTTTAGCCTTTAGTTTTCTTTTGTTCTTGCTTCCTTGTCTGCTTTTGTATTAGGATAATGCTGGCCTTATAGAATGCATTATGGAGAATTTTCTCCTCTTCAATTGTTAGGAGTAGTTTTGGGATAATTGGTATTCGTTCTTTTTTGAATGTTTCACAGAGTTTGGCAGTGAAAGTATCTGGTCCTGGACTTCTTTTTTTTTGGTTGGGAAATGTTTTATTACTGATTCAATCTCATTACTCATTATTGGTTTGTTCAGGTTTTCTATTTCTTCTTGATTCAATCTTGGTAGGTTGTATGTGTCAGAAACGTATCCATTTCCTCTAGGTTTTCCAGTGTGAGTATATAATTCACAATAGTCTCTGATCTTTCGTATTTCTGTGGTATCAGCTGTAATGTCTCCTTTTTTCATTTCTAATTTTTTTATTTGGGCCTTCTGTCTTTTTTTTCTTGGCTATTCTAGCAGGTAGATTATCGATTTTGTTTATTTTTTCAAAAAAACAACTTTTTGCTTCATTGATCCTTTGTATCATTTTTGGTCTCTATTTTGTTTAGTTCTGCTCTGATCTTTATTCTTTCTTTCTTTCTACTAATTTTGGGCTGGATTTATTCTTGCTTTTCTATTTCCTTGAGGTATATCATAAGATTTTTTATTTGAAAGTTTTCTGCTCTTTTGATCCAGGTTTTTACTGCTATAAACTTCTCTCATAGCACTGCTATTGCTGTATCCCATAGCTTTTGGTATGCTGGGTTTTTTTATTTCAAGAAATTGTTTTATGTCCTCCCTAATTTCTTCCTTGACCCAGTGGTCATTCGGAAGCATTTTATTTAACATCCATGTGTTTGCACAGTTTCCAAAGTTCCTCTTGTTATTAACATCTAGTTACACTCCACTGTGGTCCAAGAAGATACTTGATACGATTTTGATTTTTAAAAATTTCTTGAGACTTGTTTTTGTCCTAACGTATGGTCTATCCTGGAGAATGTTCCATGTAATTATGAGAAGAATGTGTATTCAGTAGCTATTGGATGAACTGTTCTTTAAATGTCTGTTAGGTCCATTTGGGGTAATGTGCAGTTTAAATATAATGTTTTTGTTGTTAATTTTATGTCTAGATGATCTATGTAAGGTTGAGAGTGGGGTGTTGAAGTCCCCAACTATTATTATATTGGATTCTATCTTTCCCTTTACATATAATAATATTTGTTTTTTCTATCTGGGTGCGCCAGTGTTGGGTGCATATATGTTTTCTTTTAGAAGTTTTACAGTTTTGGGGCTTACATTTAGGTTTTTATTCCATTTTGAGTCGATTTCTGTAAAGGGTGAGTGGCGAGGTTCTATTTTCATTCTTCTGCAAATAGATACCCATTTTTCTCAGCACTATTTATTGAAAAGACTGTCCTTTCACCAATGAATGTCCTTGGTCCTTTGGCAAAAATCAATTGGCTGTAGATATGTGGTTTAATTTCTGAGGTCTCTATTCTGTTTCATTGGACTATGTATCTATTTTTATGCCAGTAGCATGCTGTTTTGGTTACTAAAACTTTGTATTATATTTTGAAATCTGGTAATGTGGTACCTGCAGCTTTGTTCTTTTTGTTCAGGATTGCTTTGGCTGTTCAGAATTTTTTGTGGTTCCATACTAAATTTAGAATTTTTTTCTATTTCTGTGAAGAATGCCATTGGTATTTTGATAGAGATTGCCTTGAATCTGTAGATTACTGTGGGTAGTATGTTTAACAATATTAAAATTCTCAGTTTATGAACATAGGATGTCTTTCCATTTTGTGTGTCTTAATCCATTTTTTTCACCACATATTTTATAATTTTCCTTGTAGAGATCTTTCATCTCCTTGGTTAAATTTATTCCTAAGCAAATTTTTTTGTAATTATTGTAAATGGGATTGCTTTCTTGATTTCTTTTTCAGTTAGTTTATTATTTGTGCATAGAAAATGCTACTGAGTTTTGTATGTTGATTTTCTATCCTGTAACTTAAATGAATTCATTTATCAGTTCTAAAAGTTTTTTTATATATCTTTTTTCAATAGCACATTCTTCTTCCTGAATGTATGCAATTTTTTCATTACTCAGAAGATAGTAATGATGGTTTTGTGTGTGTGTGGCTTTTTAAGTATTTTTCCCCTATAGAATTTATGTTTTCTTTGATTGGTTTTGTTTGTTATCTTGATCTCTATCTTTCATATTACAGACTTCCTAAGATATCTAATAATCCTTGGTTGTCTGCTTATATTTAAGAGTGGGCTGTGAAAAACTGAATGGTAGCCTTGAGTGTGTGAGTGGTTGGGTCTGCTCATGGAAGAACTTTGATGTCAGTATTTTTTGGTCTTTTCTCTGGGGCTGATCTGATTCTCCACTGAAGGATCTTCTGTACTAGAGTTTACAAGTCTGGTATCTGCCATTATTCTGGAACTCAAGTGAGGAAAAGGTCCTGGGGCTCTACACATTCTATATGCTCATTTTTATTTAATCCTGTTGTTTTCAATGGCATCTGATCCTTCTGTGCCTGACACTGCTGAAAGTCCAAAGACTCTCTGTTGTGACCTTTCCAGAGAACACCCTTTCTCTCCAGTCTTCCATGGTCGTGGAGAGGGAATCTAGGAATGCAGTCATTTCTGAATCAGACCTCAAACTCAACTTCCTGATTGTTCTCCCACATTGTATCCATTATTAGAGGGCCATGCTATCTCTAAATCCTAAAAAGCTGGTAATTCTGTGTTATAAATCATGGATTTTTCTGATTTTCCCTACTGCTGGCTTAGAAATCAGTTTTGTTCATTTCTGCTACCACTCACTCATTTGTTTCTAGCTTTGAAAATTTGTTAATTTCCCCCCTTTCTTTTTCTGTCTGTCCTTGTGCACTTATGCTTTGTCATTTTAGTGGGGATTTAGGAGGTATCAAAAGCAAATGTATTTATTCAACTTACCATCTTTACCTTGAAGTCTACATATTACAACTGTTTTATTTATCTCTGTGGTCAATCACAAAGATATCCAAATCCTTCACTCCTTCTTGTATCTTTCCACTTTTAAAAAATGTTTTTCCATGCCCTTAAAATGTGACTTTGCAGCTCCTTTAGTCAGGGAGTGGAGTCTATTCCCCTTCTCTTAAATTGAAGCTGGCCCTGTGACTTGCTTTGGCCAATACAATCAACAGAAATGACAACATATTCGTTTCAACTCTAGGCTTCAAGATGCTTTATGTGATTTCACTCATTCTCTTAGAACCACCATGTCCAGCCACCATGTGAACAAGCCCAACCTAGCCTGCTAGAAAATGAGAGATGCCAAAAAGCAGAGATGAGCCATTTCAGCTGAAGCCATCCTAGGCCAGCTGCCCCAAACTGATCCCAGAGTTAGCTGCATGGCAAACACAGCTGAAACTAAATACAGCTGAAGCTAGAAAATCAGCCAAGCTGAGCCTAGCACCAATGTCCAGCCCACTGAACCATGAGCTAAACAGTTGTTGTTTCAACGCACTGTTTTAGGGTAGGTTGTTACATAGCAAAGGCTAACTGGCACAGTTTCTGAAAAATGTGAGTAAAGATTCAGACAATTCTAATCTTTAAAGACATTGGAAATGGTCCTCACCACATCAGAAATGAACAGATCCATCAAAATAGCCCGAAGTTGTTGATCTTGCACTTGAACAGCACCTGCATAACTAATAAATGTATTGGTTTTAAAGTTTATATTGTTCTTATTACAAAACTACAGTCCCCAAAAGATAGCGAATCAATTTCATAGTCAGGGCTCACACAGCAGTAGACAATTTATCTTGACATTTGATACCCGCTGGCTACTGTTCCCAATTATGCCAAATGCTGAAGAGCATGTCCGTGGAAACTGCAAGCTGGCGGTGTGCAGTGGACGTGTGAAGATCCTGGGAGTGTCAGACTTGCTTCTGCGCATCATCAAATCCATACCATAAGCAAAATAGTGACACCTCCTACTTGCATTTCTGTTAACTTCTTACAGATACTAAAATAACAAATTAATTCACTGCAAAGTTGCCCTTTTTGAGATACTACCAGATTTTCCAATAGTCAAAAATAAAATTAAAAGACGGGAGAAAGTGTGAAAGAAAGCCCAGCAAACACGAGAAGGGCTCATGATAACACGGTTGCATGAGGCCACGTGACAAGACAATCCCCAAGGCCAGACCACACGCTCTGCGTGTGCAGGTTTCTCCAGAGCTCACAGGAATACTGAAGAGTGGCAGAGAAGTCTCCAACTCCGCCCCATGCCAGAACTTACTGATGCTGCTGGGGAGGGCTGTGCATGGTGAACATTCATTGCGGAAACCCAAGGTGGGGCTGCCAAGGCAGGGGTGGGTCTTCTTACCTGGGAGGCACATCAACTCTAGCTACAGGGGTGGGGGAAGGAAAATGTGTCTTCCTCATTTCCTGAAACTTAGAAAAGTCTAGTTATCTTATAAGATAACTAGAATTGAAGTACAGAAAGCTGATAAGCCAATCCTTTACACACGGACTATTTAAATGTTTAAGATACATATTATTATTGTCCCTAGTGAAATCTGAAACAATGAACATGCAAATGTCATTAACAATGAAGGTCTCTAAGTCTCTAAAAACACAATGACAGAAGATTCTTCTGCTTTGCTTTATTTTTTAGGTGTCCATCACCAAACTCCTTTTGTAACCTTCTGAAGACCTTTTGATTGGATCATTTATGTGCATTATTGGTGGGGAGAGGAAGGAGATTTTTTGCAAAAAGAAGAGATTAACTACGTGCTAGAAATCCGCGGACTACCTCAAAAAATCCAAATGTTCTCAGAATCAATGCCTGGACGGATGTGCCCCAAACTCTGTCACTTTCCAATATCAAAAATTAAGAAGTATTAAGAGCATATATTAAACAATAATACCTTGCAGTGAAACATTCTTAACTACATGTGCATGTAACAAACTTTCAAGATATAGTTCCTGACAATGCTGTGTCTTGTGGATTCCAGAATGGAAGAGATAGGCACAATCCTTACTGCATAGAGTCTACAAACTAGTGAGGGGCTCAGATAAAGTGATGTGTTGTACAGAAAGACAGAGGACTCTATGAGCTCATAAGCAAGGTGCTTAACATGGACAACAGGGTCAGGAAGGCCTCTTTAGTGAAAGAATATCTAAGCTGAGACGTGAAGCATGAGTGTGAAGGAGCCTGGAAACAAGATGGGGAAGCGTGGACTGGGCAGTGGAAATCACACGTGCACACACTGCAGGGTAAGACAGCACAGGGCCTGGGAGGGACTGAAAGTGGGTCATTCTCTTTAAACAACTGACGTTAAGTAGAATAAAAGCCTGTGGATGTAATTAGGGAACAAATAGGACCAATACTTATTATAAGCTTAAGAACTTAACCCTGCTAACAACAAAGGAAGCCATCTATGTATGTATGTATGTATGTATGTATGTATGTATGTATCTATCTATCTATCTATCTATCTATCTATCTATCTGTCTTTCTATTGTGTATCCACTTGTAAGTTCTGTGACAGCTTAGACACTGTCTTTTTGGTTCACAACTACATCCCTAAGACCTGGAACAGTGCCTGATACATCCTGGGCATTAAGGAATTCTTTCCTGAATGAGGGGAATTAAGCTGCGGAATGGTCTGACTCATTTGTATTTCAGAACGACAATGCAGCTCCATGTGGAGGCTCAAGCAGAGTCAGGGAGAACAGATGGACCAATCGTGTTTAGATAAGGGATGACAGTGGGGCCAAATCCACAAGCATAGTGGGAGATTGTAACTCACCTCTTTCAATACCCACTAGGAGAAGCAGACCAGAAAAATCAGTGCAATATAGTTTGAACTCCTCAATTAGCAAATTGGCCTAATGGACACATATCTAGATTATTGAATTCAACATCTGCAGAATGCACATTATTTTCAAGCATAAAGAGAACATCTGCAAAAACTGACCACATCCCACCTCATAAAGCAAGTCTCAAAAACTCATAGGATTGAAATCATACAACACTTGGGCTCTCATGACAAGATAAGTTAGAAACCAGTCGTAAAAAAGATAATTCTCCATCTTTTATAAATTCAGAAAAACCTCCAAATAATTCCTTTGTAACTACAAAGCACAAACACTAGGAAAAAGAAGGAAGACTGCAAAACATCGTGGGCTAAACTTCCAGTTCCAGGAAGTTAGAAAAACACAAGCTATACACAAACCCTACAGAAAGAAGGAAATGACATAAGGGCAGATAATAAAGGGTTCAGTGAGACGGCCTCAGGCAGTGTTCAGTTCCTGGGTCTAAGTTACGATTACAAACATGCTTACTTTATGGTAATTTATTTGGCCTTAGTTTTTTTTTTTTTTTTGAGATGAAGTTTCATTCTTGTCACCCAGGCTAGAGTGCAGTAGTGTGATCTTGCCTCAATGCAACCTCCACCTCCCAGGTTCAAGCGATTCTCCTGCCTCAGCCTCCTGAGTAGCTGAGATTACAGGTGCGTGCCACTACACCCAGCTAATTTTTGTATTTTTAGGAGAGACAGGGTTTCACCATGTTGGCCAGGATGGTCTCAAACTCGTGACTTCAGGTGATCTGCCTGCCTTGGCATCCCAAAGTGCTGGGATTACAGTGTCAGCCACTGTGCCCAGCCTGGCCTTACATTTTTGTTTTATATACTTTCTTGTATGTAAGTTATATTTTTATAATGAAAATGGTTTGAACATTTCTTTCTCATGAGAAAACAAATAGAGATGATGGCTATCTGAACTACAGTAGAGAAAAAGGAAACAGAGAATTGAGCTGGATTTATAGATATTAAGGAATTGACATTGATTGGCCTTGCAGAGGGTGAAGCTCTGGACCCTGGTGCTTCATTTGAGAAGGGAACTGGAGGAACAGCAGTTGGGGACGTCCTGATTTAGGAAATCTGTGGGATATTCTCCAAGTAGAGACATCCACTGGGCATCAGGTTCCGGTGCCTTGCTCTAAGAGAGAGGCCAATTGGGAGACAGTGGATTTGGGAGTTATCAGAAAGTAGAGACAGTCTTTGAGGCATGGGAGTGACAGAAAGAAGTAAAGAGCGGGTATCAGGGGCCTGCAGGCACACATGGTGCGTGCATCCAGAAGTGAGGCAGAGGAAGAAAATAATGACTCCAGAGGCACTTCCACACTTGCAGGAAGAAAACCAGAAGAAAGTGGCCCAATGGAAGCAGACAGAAGGGAGTGACTCAAGAATTCAAATGCTGCACAGTGTTTACTGCTGCCAAGAGGGAAATCCAGTAAGGATGGAGAAGCACTGTTTGCATTAGCAGGAAGGAGGCTGTACTAGCATCTTTCCAGAGATGAGTTTCAGTGGAACTGGGGAGATTGGCTGTGAGGGAGATGAAAACTTGACTGCAGTATGCCATGGAGTGGCGAGGGAGAGGGCCAAGGCATGTGTGCACCCTCCCCTCCTGTGATTTGCTGTGGATGGAAAGGGGCACAGGGCTGCAGGAGGGGGATTTGGGTCCTGGTATGGTTTCACTGTGTCCCCACCCAAATCTCATCTTAAATTGTGGTTCCCATAATCCCCATGCATCATGGGAGGGAGCTGGTGGGAGGTGATTGAATCATGGGGGCAGTTTCCCCCATGCTGTTCTCATGACAGTGAGTGAGTCTCACAAAATCTGATGGTTTTATAAGCATCTGACATTTCCCCTGCTGGCCCTTGACCATCCTGCAGCCCTGTGAAGAGGTGCCTTCCACCATTGTAAGTTCCTTGAGGCCTCCCCACCCATGGGGAACTGTGAGTCAATTAACCCTCTTTCCTTTATAAATTACTCAGTCTCGGGCAGTTTCTTACAGCAGCGTGAGAAGAGACTAATACAGGTCCGCAGCAGGGTTATGTTCTAAGATGGAAGAGACTTGAACAGCTTTAAATCCTGCAGAAAGAAATTGTGAAAATATGGGCAAGCAAAGACATAACAGTTAGATTGAGATCTCTGAGAAGGAGGTGGGGACCAGCCCTAGAGAAAGACCTCTCTTCGGTTGTTAGGAAGGGAGGGGGCATTTTGTCCCTAAAGTGGCAAGATTAGCTATTTCTCATGTCCTCTTTCCTCTGTGATAACTACTAAGAGTAAAGGAGGAGGGAATGTGAAGGGATGGAGGCTTAAGGGAGTGGAGAAAAGCAGAAGAAAGGGCAAATGGGTGAGCAGGCAGGGATGCATGATGAGATGAGATTTTGATCCGGGAAGCTCTGGGCCCAACCCGCTCTGCGGAGTATTTCACTAAAAGAGTTCTATTTCAGACACTTTTGTGTGAAGTTACTACATGTTCATCTTAAATTTTCTAAGATACTACTTCTGAATCCAAATTCCTTCCTTCTGTATCTCTGAATTACATGTTTGTTTTCATCTTATGGCAGAATATTTGGTTCTAGATGCAATTGAGGACCATGTGAGTCATGAAAGCTGCAAGCCTTCACACCACAACATGAAATGGTCACATTTGTGGATAGCGACTGTAGCAACAAGATAAAGTAGAAAAAATATTGTATTACACTGCGGCCGCACCCTTCTTACACACACATATAAAGTGCATTTTCTGAAAGGAGCTCACGTTTGAAAGTCAGACTCCAGTTCAAATCCAACACTAGTCGGGTAACACTGCACATGACATATGTATCTGATCATCAGCTTCCTACTCTGAAAATAGGGGAATAAGGCCAAGTGTAGTGGCTCATGCCTGTAATCCCAGCACTTTAGGAGGCCGAGGCGGGTGTATCACAAGGTCAAAAGATGGAGACCATCCTGGCCAACATGGTGAAACCCTATCACTACTAAAAATACAAAAAGTAGCTGGGCATGGTGGTGTACCCCTGTAATCCCAGCTACTTGGGAGGCTGGGGCAGAAGAATCACTTGAACCCAGGAGGTGGGGGTTGCAGGGAGCAGAAATCGCACCACTGCATTCCAGCCTGGCAATAGAGCGAGACTCTGTCTCAAAAAAAAAAAAGAAAAAAATACAGGAGAATAAGATCAAATTTTCAAAGTATCTATGAAAAGAAAATATAAAGTCTTGAACAATGATGAGTGTACAGTAATAGTGGACCCTCTAATTTATTTATAGTGCCATCACCATCATCCTTACTATCCTTGAAATCTAGACTTTAATGTTAATTGTATCAGTAATTAACCATGTGACTCTTAGGCAAGTGATGTAACCTCTTCGGATCTCTTTAATTTTTCCAACATAAATAGAGCAGGTTTGAGTAGAAAAACTCTAAGGATTTTCTGAAGTATAAAATTTGGTATTTATTTTCAATTAGAATTTTACAATATTGAATCAGCTATTACTAATTTTGGCACTTCCCCATCTTCCTAAACATAGAATTTTGGCTAGAAACCAATATAAATTTCTCTTCATTACCATTTTCCAAGTCTGTAATATGGTAACTTTATTTTAAACCTCTAGGTGAAATCCTGCTTTTTCTGTTTGTTTTGTTTTTAATATGCATTTCTGTGGCTTATAAAAGTAGAAAAAAAGTCCTGCAACAGACTAGTGTTCTCCTGAACACAGGCAAAACAAAAGGAAAAAGAATGTTTTCCAAAATCTGAAATATGAGATGTATGCTTTTATAGATTACTCTTGGGAAGTTAAGACGTTATCTTTAAACTGAAATACGCATTCCTAAGCATGAGGCAATTACGCATTTAAATCTACTTAACTGGTCATGAATGTTGGCAAATTGCTCAACATCAGAGATGATCCAAGTTCTCAGGATGATATATCTGCTGCTGGCAAACGTGGGAATCTGCCGGAAGCCATGACATCTTCGTTGTAAATTTCAACAAAATAAAAATACCTAAATGTGCCTATATTTGTTCTATTTTTATAAAAGCCCATGACATACTATTTGGGGAAAAACACAGTTGCAAAACCACATATTTAGAAAGATACACATACTCACATACCTGAACGCTCATGTAAGCACCCATACGCTCAACTTCATCCGAGAATATCAAGGTGAATTCACCCCAACTACTAATATTGCTACATGTGAAATATGGAAAGGGAAAGGGGTGGGTATTTGAGGGAACTGTCTCTACATGTTTTATACTGCACACATTTGCATATTAAAAGGTTTTATTTTATCATTTTAAATAAGTAAAGCCTAATTGACAAATCCATATAAGCAATCTTGTTCCAACTTAAAAGTGATTTATTAAAAGATTATATAAAAAGAAAAAGCAGTTGATGACATATTTTATAATGTTAAAAGCCATCCCCATTAGGATTCCAAAGCTGGCCTAGTTCTATCAAAATTTAGTCCACAGTTTATGAAATTACTACATGTGAGATGCTTTGCTAAAGACCTACATGCCTGAAAGCCTTTCATCCTTACACAAACTACATCTGTGAGATGAGAATTATTGGCCTCATTTTCATATGAAGAAACTGAAACCCAGGGAGATTAAGTGTTCTTGCCAAAGTCTCATCATTAGAAAAGAGTAGACTTAAGATTTGAACCATGATCTTACCCATCACACCCTATAACCTGTCTGCCTCCCTCACACTTTGCATTTTAGAAAAAAAAAAACTTGGTATACATTGGCAAAATTTCATGAAGTGTTGAAAGCTCTAAGAATAAAACGATATTGCTGTGATCAATTCTCCTACAGAGAAGTTAAATGCTGATTAGCCACTTACTCTAACACGTTACCACAAATTGTTGCTTTATGCCAACAAGCATTTTATGGACCTAAACTTTGCCAAAAGCAATCACTGCAGACAGCAAGATGGATGTAGAAGATGGAAAGAATCATTGAGTCTTCATCTCCATAAAGCTAGCAGAGGAGCCAAAGTGAGTTAACCATTTGATGGGCTGACGTGTGTACATCAGTTCCAATCGTTTAGACTGCAACCCTACCCCCTGAGATAGGAACCATAAGCTTTTACTTTATATATACTCTACAAGCCCCCACAAAATGATGCCTTCAATCCTTCAATAATATGTGTTGTTCAAGGTTCAGTCTGAATGAATGAATACTCTTTGGATGCAGTCGCCAGAAAATCCAACCCAATGTTGTTTAAACACGTATGTATGTAAGTTAAAAGCTCGGGGTATGACTTGAGCCAGAGGCTTAAATACACCAAGACTCACTTTCTCTTCCTTTTGCTCTTGGCTCCATTTCCTCTCTGGGAACCTTTCTCAGACAGTAGGTCTTGGATTTGTTGTTGTTGTTGTTTGTTTGTTTTTATTTTTGTTGTTATTTTTTTGACAGGGTCTTGCTCTCCCACCCAGGCTGGAGTGCAGTGACGCCATCATGGCTTACTGCAGCCTCGACCTCCTGAGCTCAAGTGATCCTCCCACCTCAGGCTCCAGAGTAGCTGGGGCTACATGCATGTGCCATCACGCCTAGATAATTTTATTTTTGTAAAGATGGAGCCTCATGATGTTGCCCAGGATGGTCTCAAACTTCCAGATTCAAGCAGTCCTCCCACCTCAGCCTTCCAAAGTGCTGGGATTACAGGTTTGAACCACCATGCCCGCCCAGACAGTAGGCCTTTTGTAGAGACAAGTATGTGTCTACAGTTTCTTACACCTATCCAAGTTCGAGTCCAGAGATCACTGGAACCAAAGTCTGGAGATTCACTGTGATTGCATCAGTTTAGATTACATGCCTTCCCCAAGCCAGTTATTATGGGAAAACGTGCTGTGTGCTCAGCTCAAGCCTGGTCACATGTGCCCCTTCTGGAACCACGGTCAGAGCCAACTGAGATCGCATGGAGGGGTTGTTGAGAGGGGTTCACTTTCACATGAATGTGAGGATCTGTTACTGAAGAATGGTGGAAGACACACCTGAAGGCAGACAATGTATTCCCCACCTGCCCCAGGCATGGAAGCGTTGCCTGCTGAGTCTGTGATATGCCTTGAAAGATCTCCCAAGCATCAGGTGACATCTGGTTCTCAGTCCAGCCATCGCCTCACAGTGGCACTTGCAACAGGCCACTCCCCACCAGGACCACACCACTAATGCTGGTTCAAAATGGTTTCTCTACTTCTTCTCAGACTGTCCCATAGACCAACCTGGGGACACCTGGTTTCCTGCCCCAGGCTCTGTGTCCCAGCAGCTGTGGCAGGGTGACCTATCTGACCATGGCTGTGGTAGGAGACCCTCATTGCTTCCCAGAACTGATTTCTTTCTGTAGTGGATAAGAGGATGGTAACTATTGGCCAGGCGCAGTGGCTCACACCTGCAAACCCAGCACTTTGGGAGGCAGAGGCAGGTGGATCGTTTGAGGTCAGGAGTTTGAGACCAGCTTGGCCAACATGGTAAAACCTCATCTCTACTAAAAATACAAAAATTAGCCAGGTGTGGTGGCGGGTGCCTATAATCCCAGCTACTTGGGAGCATGAGGAACAAGAATCGCTTGAACCTGGGAGGCAGAGGTTGCAGTGAGCTGAGATCACGCCACTGGACTCCAGACTAGGTGACATAGGGACTCCATCTCAAAAAAGAAAAGAGGACGGTAACTATTTAACCTCACCTCTCCAGGTAGAGAGAGAAATTGGGGGAGGGGAGGGCAGGGCATAGAGGCAGGAAGGAGGGAAAGGAAGAATTAGGTTAACTCAACCCCTTTCCATGGGCAGATATCCCCTCTCCATGACCAGATGTCTGTTTCCTTCAGGGGAGAAGAGAACCAACTTAAAAACTGGATGTAAATTAGTGGACCATCAAAAAAGAAATTCTATCCTGGAAAAAAAAAGCTCTAATTAATTTTATTTTCTTCAATTCTCCAAAGGTGAACAAGTTATAGGTGACAATAAAAAGGCTCATGATGGAGAAGTCCAATCTGTCGGCTTCTCATTGCCAATTTCTATTCTCTGACCTAAAGGGATAAACGTAGTTGGGTGTGGTGACTCTCATCTGTGACCCCAGCACTTTGGGAGGCCAAGGCAGGCAGATTGCTTGAGCCCAGGAATTCGAGACCAACCTGGGAAATATGGTAAAACCCTGTTTCCACAAAAAATACAGAAAATCAGCCAGGCGTGGTGGCACACACCTGTATTCCCAGCTACCCGGGAGGCTGAGGTGGGAGGATCACCTGAGCCCAGGAGGTTGAGGCTGTAGTGAACTGTGATTGCGCCACTGCATTCCAGCCTGGGTGACAAAACCAGACCTTGTCGCAAAAAAATTAATTAATTTTTAAACTAATCTTTAATCAAAAAAATTAACTAATTAAAAATAAAGTGAGAAATGTCAGTTTTCTTCTCCACCTATCATTTGCTAAAACTTTCAGAGTTTGTTGTCTTCAAAATTTCAAGCTGTCCTGGCCTAAAGATGAGTCCCTTTAAAATCTAAAGAGGAAAAACATCTACTTCCACCCTATGAAATGCTACCTGTAGACTACACTGGAGAAATTTTCCTTTGTTTTATTATTAATAATTTTTATACAAATATAAACATGAAATGACTTTTTTGTCAAATAGTTATTTTCACTGAAAAGAAATGGAAAGCAAATACTTCAAACAAAACATGTGATACTTTTTTTTTTTTTAGAAGACTAAGTAAACTATAGAAGCCCCTCAGGCCCTGCAGGTTTCCAAATTTAATGGCTAAATACATCTAGAGTCATATACATATGGCTAAAAATATCTAGGTATTGTGCATGTACGTGTAAACCTTGAAGTGTCGTTCATATCAGAAATAGTGTAACAATAAAAAGATGAATGCCAAAATATCATCCTCAGAATTACTCATCTATAAGTAGGTTCGATGTGAAACTAAATAATTTTGTTTTCTCATAAAGGAAATCCCAAAGAGGAAAATAGCAGAAGACAGAGATTATGCAAAGGAACTATCTACGTTGTTTCTCTCTGAAACAGAAATGCTTTCTTTGGTCATTTTTAACAGAATTGGTACTTTGTGCAAGTATTCAGATATCAGAATTAACCAGATTTGCCAAGGCTCCAATATCATATTTTGCTTTGAAGACCAGTTCTGGGTGAGGTGTTCTTGCACCCACTCATTTCCTAAAAGACATTTTTTTTCCATTTCACTCCCGTCATTTTTAACTGAATAAATTCCTGTTTCAACTGTGACGCTTCTCATTGCTCTTAGTGTGGCGCTGAGCCCCTCCCGTGGCCTCCCTGCTCTGGGGGTCTGGCCCACACCTCCGGTGCCTCCTCCAGACCCCTCCCCAGCTCCTCACCCAGGCCCCTGCCCCTCTCGCTCACAGCCAGCCATCGCCTGGAAAGGAAACCGGGGGGTGTGTTTTTTAGAATAAATTTGTATTAAGAGCCCTATGACTTTTTTTTTAGAATTGGAACCAATTTTAATTTGTCTTACTGTTCACATGTTCCACTGAAGCGATCGCAGCTCTCTCGCCTGGTCTCAGTATTTGTAAACGTAACAGCAAAGGCATATGGGGTTGAGTAAAACCACGTAGCTGCCCCCGTGTTCCCGCCTGGGAGTTCTGTCTGGAGACTTCGTCTGGGTATTCACAGCAGCGTAGGTGGCAGGTAGTTACAGCTCAAAGGTGTTGGAGCCTTTGTTGCCTCAGACCGTCCTGCTGATCCCGTCAGGAGCCCTGTCTGTTTCTACCGTGTTTAACCAAAGTCTAAAGCGCCCACGAGGCCGAGGCCCCTGTCCTGAAGGCGCCCCCGGTGGAAGCTGCACGTCGTCTTTCGGTCTGAGGGTCCCAGACTTCCCATGAGAGAGGACAGGCAGAGGCGCGGCTCTCGGGGGCCCACCCAGATTCAGACGGGAAAGAAGAGGGGCTGGAAGGAGGTAACTTCCCCGCAAAAAACGCACGCCGGTCCCCTCACACCAGGAGGAATGGCAGGAAGGTGCTGAGAGTTGGCAAGTTTCAATTTTCCAAAGCAGCTATTTCAATAATTCTGTTGATGGCGATTGAGAGTCCTCAGTTCTTGTCTCCTTCGTTTAAAAACATTTAAAACCAGAGAGACACAGCAGTAGAGAAAGGGTAGGAGGCAGCTTATTGCAAGGGAGAAAGGACACTGATAGCTAAGTGTAAAAGGGAAAGGACCCCGAATAAGTCGGAGCGGCGGATTGAGAGGTGAGACAGCAAACAGGGGAGGCTCCCTTCACGGGGGTCCTCCGGGATTCTTCATAAGCAGGTGGGAAGCAGCATGGCTGGTGAACATGTTCTGGGTGATCCTCTGGCTGCACAGGCACAGCAGCTGCCCCGGCTTGTTCATAAGTTGCATGTCTCATTAGCATCTTTTGATTGTCTTTTTTTTTTTTTTTTTTTTTTTTTTTTTGAGACAGTCTCACTCCTGAGACTCCCAGGCCGGAGTGCAATGGCGCTATCTCGGTTCACTGCAACCTCCGCCTCCTGGGTTCCAGTGATTCTCCTACCTCAGCCTCCTGAACAGCTGAGGTTGCAGGCACCGGCCACCATGCTCGGCTAATTTTTGTATTTTCAGTAGAGACGGGGTTTCACCATGTTGGTCAGGCTGGTCTCGAACTCCTGACCTTAAGTGATCCACCCACCTCGGCCTCCCAAAGTGCTGGGATTACAGGCATAAGCCAAGGCACTCGGCCATCTCATTAGCATCTTAAATCTCCACACAGGAGTGTGTTTTTTACTATTCTAATGAGCAAAGGGTCAGCCTGAGGACAGGTAAAATTAAAAGGAGCCCACTCCCTACAGGGGAAATTCCTTATTGGAGGTAGCTGTGCTTGAATGAGCTGGGCTACAACGCAAGGCTGCAGCTAATGGTGTTGACGGTGTGGTCGCCCAGGTGGCTGGACCCGAGGACATAGTTACTTCCTTGACTACCTATGGAGAGGAGAGCACAGGGACTCCTGACCCAGAGCAGCCTCAGGGACACGGGAAAGCAGCTCAGGAAGGCATCGCTCTCCCCAGCAGGAGGCAGGCAGAAGCAGCCCACACCCCACAGCCACGGTGAGAGGAGAAAGCCAGCCAACCTGTCATCCAGGACTCCAGGGAAGAGCCAGGGCAGACTCTGGCTGCCACGCAGGGAATGTATGTCCCCTCCGCTCCCTGGATGTGTGAAGAGGAAAAGAGAGTTCCCTGCAACACAGGAAATCAGAACCTCCAAGTGCCTGTTCTCTGCTTTGAGGTCTCTCCACACAGAATGAGCACAGCATATCACAGCCGATCAAGACCCAACCATCTCCGGTGCACCAGAATTTAAGGCTAAAACAGGATTGAGGCCAGGCGTGGTGGTTCACGCCTGTAATCCCCAGCACTTTGGGAGGCAGAGGGAGTGGATCACTTGAGGTCAGGAGTTCGAGACCAGCCTGGCCAACATGGTGAAACCCCATCTCTACTAAAAATACAAAAATTAGCGGGGCGAGGGCACCTGTAGTCACAGCTACTTGGGAGGCTGAGGCATGAGAATTGCTTGAACCCCAGAGGCAGAGGTTGCAGTGATGCAGTGAGCCAAGATCATGCCACTGCACTCCAGCCTGGGCGATAGAGCTAAAATTCAGTCTAAAAAAAAAAAAAAAAAAAAAAAAAAAAAAAAAAAAAAAAAGAAAGAAAAAACAGGATTGAGAAGCTCCATCCTATGGTAAAAACTAGGACTGAAGAAACAAATCTGGCCCAGCAGTCTGATTGATGAATGGATGAATGAATTGTAGTTCAGCTTGGGAGACTCAGTAGTTAACATATGTCAGCATTTATTGGTGAGAAGGAAATTATGGGGACAGGATGTAAGATGGAATCAGAAAGAAGAATTTAGTGTGAAACAGGAACTTAAACAGTGCCAATAAATCAAAGAAATAAACTAGGAAGAAACACCACAAAAAGTTCAAGCAACCCCATTAATAGGGAATGAAATACTAGAAGCCAGAATAACTGAGTTATCCCAGAGAGGAAATCACATGTAAGGATGAATTTACAGAACCGTCCTGAGTGATAGAGTGAAAGATACAATGAAGCTTCAAATAGGTGGAAAATACAGAGATACAACAAATATTCGCAACAGGACGGTGATTGTCAAAGCAAACCGTGCCTCACCTTATCAGACATTCCTGCTCCTCATTGATTCTCTCAGGTAATAGGCAGTCAGACTGCTGTTATTTAAACAAAATGGAAATCAGTTCACCAGGAAACCATACTTTCAGGGCTACAGAATAATGTCCTATCAGTGACTTCACTGGGAAGCCACAATAAGTCCATGTAAAAATGGAAAGAGGGGCCAGGCACAGTGGTTCATGCCTGTAATCCCAGCACTTTGGGATGCCAAGGCGGACAGATCACTTGAAGTCAGGAGTTTGAGACCAGCCTGGCCAACACGGTGAAACCCCGTCTCTATTAAAAATACAAAAAATTAGCCAGGTGTGGTGGTGGCTGCCTGTAATTCCAGCTGAGGCAGGAGAATCACTTGAACCTGGGAGGCAGAGGTTGCAGTGAGCTGAAATCATGCCACCTCACTCCAGCCAGGGCGACAGAGCATGACTCTGTCTCAAAAAAATACAGAAAGAGGCCAGGCGCAATAGCTCATGCCTGTAATCCCAGCACTTTGGGAGGACGAGACAAGAGGATCACTTGAACCTGGGAGTTTGAGACCAGCCTGGGCAACATAGTGAGACCCCATCTCTACAAAAAATTTCAAAATTAGCTGTGTGTGACAGTGGCTGCCTGTATTATCCCTGTACTGGGGAGGCTGAGGTGGGAGGATTGCTTGAGCCCAGGAGGTCGTGGCTGCAATAAGCTGTGATTGTGCCACTGCACTCTAGCCTGGGCAACAGAGTGAGACTTTGTAAAAAAAAAAAAAAAAAAAAAAAAAAAAGGAAGAAAAAGAAAAAAGAAAAAAATAGAATGAGAAACAGAAGCAGGTAGTGAGGAAACCCGCTTACCAGGGGCTGTTTGCTTGAGTCCCGGGGAAAGACCTCGGCTGAAGGAAAAAGAGCTGCAGGGGCCTGCCCCAGCGCTTCCTGGAGGGGAATTGCACGTGTGGCACAAAAGCACACTGCTTAGACTGTGCCCCGGGCAGCCACTCGTGCCCATGAGGAAAGAAGGCGTGGAGGTGGCTTCCTGCTCTGGAAATGCACTGGCTGTGTACCGCCCACTAGCTCCATACTAGCAGCTACTGAGCACCTGAACCCCGGCTATTTGAATTGAGATGTGCTGTGTGTGTAAAACACACACTGGAACTCGAAAATATTTCAGTGACACTTTATATTGATTAAAAATTTAAATGATAATGTTTTGGATCTATGGAGTTAAGAAATATATATTATTAAAATTAATTTCGCCTATTTTCTTTTGCTTTTTTAATGTGGTTAGTACAAAACTTTAAATTTATGTCTCTCGTTATATTCCTGTTGGACAATGCTGGTCCAGAACAGAATTTCACAGGTGAGTAAGGCCATTGTCCCTGCCTTTTGGGGAACACTTGCTGGCACAACAAAGCAGCCGCTCTGGGCCGTAGGAGTGGCCTTCTCCCAAGGCTCTGGAGGCAGCCCCTCTCCTGATGTCAAAGCGAGAGGGGGAGGGCGTCCTGGATGCCGGCACTGTGACTGCAGGTGGCCAGACAACAGCAGCACAGTGGGACAGTGGCCCTGCACCTGCAGGGTGGCAGAGGCAAACCCCTGCCCCAGGACCAGGAGGATTTAGATCACCCAGCCATGTGACTCTCAGGGAAACCCAAAATTGGGGAAGGAGCCTGAGCCACAAAACTGCTCTGCCATTGCTGTGACCGCAACACTCTTCTATCTCCCCATGAGTGTGGAGTGGACGAATGACAGTTATTCAAAAAATCATACATCCTCAGCCGGGCATAGTGGCTCATGCCTGTAATCCCAGCACTTTGGGAGGCCAAGGCGGGTGGATTGCCTGAGCTCAGGAATTTGAGACCAGCCTGGGCAATACGATGAAACCCCGTTTCTACCAAAAATACAAAAAACTTAGGCAGGTGTGGCGGCATGCACCTATAATCCCAGCTACTCGGGAGGCTGAGGCAGGAGAATCGCTTAAACCCTGGAGGCAGAGGTTGCAAGTGAGCGGAGATCGCGCCACTGCACTCCAGCCTGGGTGACAGAGTGAGACTCCATCTGGAAAATAAATAAATAAATAAATAAATAAATAAATAAATAGTCCTCATTTGGTGACCTAGTCAGAGAAAAACAGTGAATCCTGAAAACCTGGCCGGAACAACAGAAATTTACTGTCTCAGCTCTGGAAGCTCAAAGTCCAAGATCAAGGTGTCTGCAGGGTTGGTTCCTTCTGAGGCTGCGAGGGAGCATCGGTTCTGGTTCTCTTCCCTATCATCTAAATTTTCTCTGTTTTTTACAAGGACACCAGTCACACTGGATTAAGCACACACACACACATACCACCCCCACCCCACCCCGACTCCCCGCCACATCATTCATTAGGACTTCATTGTAACCTGATTCCCTCTGCAAAGGCCCTGTCTCCAAATACAGTCACATTCTGACCACATTCTGGGGTCTCCGGACTCCAACATATCACTTGTGGGGACATAATTTAATTCCTATGAAGGCAGAAACACAGTAGTCTATTTGAAATCACTCAACTGTAGGCATCTTTAACACTTCTGCATCTCAACCCATAAAACTCAGATGTAAAGAATTGTAATTTTTCAAAAGAATGTTTCTGTATTAGTCAGGGTTCTGTTAGGGGACAGAACTAATAGGAAATACATATATATGAAATATATATATAAAATATAGATATATTTATGTAGAACCATCACAGTTTTTACAACTTAATATCAGCTAAAGTTTTTACAGCTTAGACAAATCAATGAACCCTCAACTGTCTTCCCATGTGGCGTCCTGATTTCAAGGGCTCGCATAGTGCAAAGAGCTTTTATTTCTGGGTTGGGTGGGGAGCTAGATTTTTATCTTTAATGTTTTCTATCCAAAGGGCCATCTTCTGTGCCATCGATTGTCCCATGTGAACTTCAGTCATTGATCCACCGGAGTCTCCACTGAGCCCTCTTCATTGTCATCTTCCTGCCCCTGAGGGCCGAAGGCTCCCTCTGCTTCCTCGGACTCCCTAAGCACCAGGTTCGTGCCTGGTTTCTGTGCCACGCTGGGGACATGCTTCCCGGCAATGCCTCCTCCCTCCTCCATCCCCTCCATCCAGAGTGTCCACTCCATCCCCTCTCCAGAGTGTTGCTCCTTCTATGGAATCAGATGCAGGGCCGGTGGCAGGTCGGGGGAGAGGGATATTCTGTTGCTCCCACACTCCTCACACTTCCCTGAGCCTCTCTCTGGACCCTCCCAACATCATGGCTTTCTTCACTTCAGCTGCATCTCACAAGTTCAGTCCACAAAAATCTCAGCTGAAGAAGGGAAGCCATTTCTGACTCAGGGCGTTTCCCCCGTGTAACTTTTCCACACTTGAAGGGCCTTTGCCAAGTGTCTAGACTTCTGGAACACATAAGCCAGGAGAATGCAAGATTGCCATGTGGCCTACAGCATCTTGGAATGAGACTGGAAGTGTGGGATGCCCATCTGCTTGGCCAGGACGTGGGGGTGTCGAAGAGAAAGAGGAGCTGTGCAAACCAGCAGGAGGAAGAGCCCATTTATGCGCCTCGCCTTGATAAAACAGACTAAACGAGAGACAAATATGCATTCTTTTTGTTAAAAATTGATCTCGATGGTATAAGAAACTATTTAAGTTCATTATACAAGTGTGCCTAAAACTGGTATAGATTTTATTATTAATTCAGTGAAACTTCATTAATTCGAACTTTAAGAAAAAACAATTTCATAGCTCTTAGATAACAAAATAATCCTGACATAGTTTAAAAAGTATTCACTAGCAGAATTTCATATAGGCTCTGCTACCTGAATGGATGCTGCGTGAGTACTTCAAAACCTTTCCTTTCCTTGGCGTTTAACCATTCCCCAGGTAAGCTTGGCTTATCCACTGAGCAAGTCCTCTTATTACAGATTGTACAAAGATGAACTTGGTTCTGACGGTGTTGGATTTAATACATATTCCAAATTATCAATGATCCAATGATCAAATGATTGAATCCAGTTGTGTCTGCTAGTCTAATTGCTTTACTCTCTATTCAATTACTGATTTCTGGAAGTGGTAGAATCGTCACCAATTTTGAAGTTGTTTCAGTTATGCCACATGCGGCCAATATATTCTCACAAGGCAGAAATTTCTCTCTATACCAGAAATGAAGATTTTACAGAGTGGTGAGTAGGCTTCAGATCTTTCAGCACCAAGGGGTTTGCCTAATAAGAGTGCTTAGCCAACCAAAGGGAAGATGATTGCAGAGTGATGAAATATTCAAGACGACAAAACAGCTACACACAGAAAGCAATAGCATTTGCCAGATAAGGGGATCCTTTCTCCAGGCTTAGTCAAGATAGTTCCATCTCTGGGAGGCAGCGCCCCAGCCTGGGAGCAGATAAACCGTGGTCCAGAACACCTCCCTGGGGGCCTCCTGCCCTCACTTGCTGCTCTGGGGAGTGCCGGCTTCCCATTAAGATCCCAGTGATCTTTGAAGTGCCGCATCGTTTAGGCTTCCTGTATAACTAAATGAGGTTTCCGCTCCCTGTAGCCCTGGTCATGTTCTGTGCAGAGCAGATACTGGGCGCTGGCTCAGGGAGGAACACGGCCATAAATCATTCAGTGTCAGAGCCTTTTCAAGTCAAATCCCTCAGCTCTCAAGCCCATCACTCACAGAAGGTTCTGGGAGCGTCAATTATGGAAATGCCTTCCAGTTAAGATTAGAGGTACATTTGGTTATTCATTTACTTTCCATTCCCAAATTGCAGTAACTATTTCAGGAATGATTTTTGCAGTATCCTGTTTGGTACAATTTTCTAATATGAAGAGAATTCTAAAAATAAACATAAGCTATATATGCAGATTTTTGTGGTTTTTGACCCACGAATGCATCAGTTGAAAACAATTCTTAATACTGATGACAAAACTGAAAAGTAACCTGGTTTCAAATAGAATTCCTGCTGCACAGCCTGGAGAGACACCCGAGAAAGGAACCCACTCATAGCATTTTGTCAGCATCGTCAAAAGTAGATTCCTAGCTTTTAAATCCATGCATCCTAATCCTTGCAGCTTCTGGTGTGCCTCATAAACCCACCCTATAATGAGCATTTTATTTAAGCCAGTTTTAGAGATTAGAACGGAGTTCATTTCCTTCTACTTTTCATTCACGTTACTTTTAATCCCTTCATTCTATAAACTTAATTGCTATTTTGCTAGTCCCCAAGCAGCTAACCTAAGCCTTCTTTAAGCATTTCTTAGTAATTTTCCTTTAGTTATTTACTACATTTTCTCTTTAGTCAGCTAAATGAAACTTTCAGGATATTTCTTGGGTGAACAAAACTTCAGATGAAGCACTTGCTTTTTTGTTACAACTGCACAAATTTTATTTTGCATTTCTCCCTCTTCTAGGAGAGCATCAAAGAGATGACAGAATGATTAACGTCAGTCATTAGTACTGATGTTTTCTTTATCTTGGGCAAAACACTCAACACTACATTTGATACAAAAATAAATGAGCATTTGATGCAATTGCTACCAATTTCCTCCATCTTGACAAATTTGGATTTTGCTTGGGTGTGTTGGATATTGCAGCATTCGCTATAGTTCGGAGGCCACACTAAGACAGTTATCTACTTAACCTACTTGTCTAACTGCAATTTTACTATTTCACAAACACACCTGTTATGGCAGTAGCAGTGGCATTATAAAATAAATAAATAAGCCTGAAAGAATCCACGGAGGCTCTGCACTATCTAGGTAATAACATTTCATCCAAGGAAAATACTTCAAAGAACAATTCAATTATTTATCTATTTATCCTGTTTGTTAAAATAGTGGCAAACATGACAAGTGGTTCAGAATTTGTCCTAAGACCCCAGCAATATGAACATATCAATAAATAGTGATATCCATTGAATCAGTTGCCCAGGTAAATGTGTGTGGGTGTATTTGTTTATAAGATATATTTATTTAACTAGATTTATAAGAATATAAAGCTTTGCATTCAGTGTTTCTCAAAAGAGAGAAAAGGGATTTGGCCAGTGTATTAGTCTGTTTTCAAACTGCTGATAAAGACATACCCACGGCTGGGCAATTTAGAAACGAAAGAGGTTTAATGGACTTACAGTTCCACATGGCTGGTGAGGCCTCACAATCATGGCAGAAGGCAAGGAGGAGCAAGTCACGTCTTACATGGATGGCGGCAGGCAAAAAGAGTTCGTGCAGGGAAACTCCCCCTTATATAAGAACCATCAGATCTCATGAGACTTATTCACTATCATGAGAACAGCAAGGGAAAGACCTGCCCCCATGATTCAATTACCTCCCAGTGGGTCCCTCCCACAACACATGAGAATTCAAGATGAGATTTGGATGGGGACACAGCCAAACCATATGGGCCAGGTAACAAGAAGGCTGGCTTAGTAACAGTCACATGAGTCAAATGTAAATAAAGGTAATGAAAGCAATGTGTTTGTCGTATCAGATCATTAGGGAGCTCACTTCATTTCCCTGTTTGCATCTCTTGTTGATATATTTCTCACCTTCAGCCCTGGCATGGCCTTGGTAATAGCAATTAACACTTCTTTCAGGTGCCATACTTTACAGAAG